>NC_000010.11:54991580-55143095 GCF_000001405.40 Homo sapiens | reverse complement strand
AGAGAGAGCGCGAGCGCGAGCAGGGGAAGTGCCACACTTTAAAATCATCAGCTCTCCTGAGAACTCACTCATTATCATGATAACAGCAAGGGAGAAATCTGCACCCATAAGCCAATCATCTCCCACCAGGCCTCTCCTCTGTCATGTGGGGATTACAATTGGAAATGAGACTTGGGTAGGGACGCAGAGCCAAATCATATCACTCACTTTGCATTTATTCCTTCTCATTTATTTCTTCACTCCATCTCTCAAATTTCTTATCCTGCTCCCCTAGTCACAAAAGACTTTGCATGACAGCTACCCAAAAGAAGGCAAGATACTTCTCAGAGGGTTGAAAAATAAGAGACTTGAGTTTGCTGAACCTGAGTTTTATTCAGTGGACCAACTGAGAAAAATGCTTGGAAATATTCTCAGGTTAATATTAAATTATCCATCTTTTTAGAGATATATCTACATAGGAGTACAAATATATTTATGAAAATATATAAAAATAACTGTAGTATATGCAAAAAACTATAGATACACACAATCTATGTACCTATAAAATTGTATCATTACAATTACATTGCTGTTTAAAATATCTGTGAATGAGAATACCTGAAAATATATTTAACTTATATGTGCATATATACCCATCTATGTTGCTGTCCATCTATTTATCCATTTATAGCTATATCTGAATCTACATCCATATTAACAATTTTGGTAGGAAAACTTATACTCTATATTTGATAAAGTTAACAGTATAATTATATTTTTGTTTACTTTTCAGCCAATCTAAACTATTAATGTTATCATTTTCTAGTGATGGTCCTGGGTCATTGCCAGACTCAATAGTTTTGTTCTTTTTTTCTATAATAAGATGATAAAACCATTAGAAAAATGGAAGAAGGTGGGATAGGAGACACATCAGTCAATAAGCTCTGAGACAAAGATATAGAGACACAGATCATAATTACTTTGGTGGTGGTTTGCTTTCACATTCATTACTTTCAGCTGCAGTCACAATGAATGTTTCCAAACAATGATCTCATTCTCTAACAAATACATTCTGCCATATATTGTGCAGATAATGAAGTTTTATGTTTATGTGCAAAGAATCAAACCTCTGAATTCAATAAAGTCTCAGAATGTGGCCTTCCTGAATAATTACTTCCCTGTGTGATGCTATTAAAACTGAATTTGATGTCCACAAAAGATGTACCTTAAAAAAATTAAAGAATGTAAAAAAAAATAATAAACCTTTTGCTTTAAAGAACAGATTTCTCCTCTAAGGTGAAAACAGCTCTTTTAATGAGCTTACTTTTGTTCAAATGCATTTCCTTTTGTGCAATTTACATAACCATCTGTCTTTTCCTTTAATGTTGAACAGCTTACAAAAATTGTAATGTACTGAATTAACAGTTAAGGTGTACTTATTTCAAATTATTTTAAGACTCTGTCTTAAAATATAAAAGCATTTTACTGTCTCCTATTGGAATAACTTTTACTTTCCAGATGAATGATAATGATATCTAGCATTGTCATTTGAAATTATTTTAATTAGTATTAGAAAATGCAGACAACATAAAATGTTTTCTACTTTGGCCAAAGATGGCTTCAGCAAAAGTCACTGTGGAAGAGAAAAACTTTCTAAGTTACTTCTCAGAAATCTTAAGAAAATATTAAAATGTCACTTCTTGAGAAAGAGAATGGCTATATATCCCTTTTTGCAGCTTTTTGCTTTTTGCAGCAATTTGACTCTAACCCAGTTCTTTTCAATTGCTTGGTATCTTTTTCCTTTGGCATCTTTCTAGAAGCAGTTCTAAAGTCATTAGGCTTATTTGAGCATTAGAGAAAAAGTTATAAAGATGAGAACACTAAATAAACACCTATGTTTTGACAACATTAGTTGAGCTGCTACATTTGTAATTCATTTGTAATGTTGTTGTCCCAGAAGAAGAAGAGCAGACTTAAAAAAAACTCAAATAAATAATAGCTGAAAGCTTTCTAAATTTTGCAGAAGACAAACTTATAGACTCAAGGAGGTGGGTGAACCCAGAGCAAGATAAACCCAAAGAAATCAATTTAAAAAAGGAAAAATAAAAGTGACAATTATCCAGTGACATGGATGAAGAAAGGAAAGGACACAAATTACCAGTATCAGGAATGAAAAAGAGTATATCACTACAGATTCTGTAGACATCAAAAGGATAACAAGGAAATAATGCAAACAACTATGCACATGTCAATAGGACAACCTAGATGAAATGAACCCATTGCTCAAGAAACAAACCACCACAACTTACATAAAAGCAATATTTTCATAGCCCAATAACTCTAAAAGAAATTGATCAGTAAAAATATCCCCCACAAGAAATCTCCAGGTCCACTGGAGAAGTCTACCCAATGATTAAAAAAGAATTGATATCAATTGTCCATAATATCTTCCAGAAAATAGATCAAGAGAGCACAATTTCATTTAATGAATAAGCTAGTATTTCTCTGATATCAAAACCTGTTCAAGACAGTACAAAAAATAAAAAATAATAAAACTTCTTAACAGTATGTCATGAATGTAAGGCTAGTTCAATACGTGCAAATTAATCCATGTAATCTAATATATACATAGGCTAAAGAAGAAAAATTATGTATCAATTGATGAAAAAGAATTTAACAAAATTTTACAACCAATTATGAGAAAAAGTCAGAAAAAAGGCTTAATCGGGACCCTTGGCCACAGACATCTACAAAAATTCCACAGCCAGCATTAGACTTAATGATGAAAAATTGAAAGCATTCATCTTAAGATTGAACATAAAATAAGAATGTTTCCTTTTAATACTTTCATGCAACATAGTACCAAAAATTCTAGCTAGTGCAATAAGCCATCCTTATTTGCAGATGATATGTATTTATATGGAAACTCTTAAAGAATCTACAAAATTGAAAAGAAAAATATCCTAGAGCTAATAAGTGAATTCAGTAACGTCACAGGAGACCAAATAAACATTTAAAAAATCAACTGCATTTCTCTGTACTAGAAATGAACACATGAATATCAAAATTGAAAATGAACTATTTGAAATCATTCTAAGAAAATTCTTTTCTTAGGTGTAATTCTAGCAAAACATATACAGGATTACTATGCTAAAATAATGAAATTTTGATGGAAGAAATCAAAGATCTAAATAATTATAGACACAATGTCTTAGATTTGAAGAATCAACATAGCAAAGATGTGACTTCTCTTTCAGTTGATAGGTATGTTGACAAATTCATACTAAAATACCAAGATTTTATATTATATAGATTAAATGATTCCCAAGTTTATTTATAGAAGCAAAGAAAATATAATAGTTACAAAATAATATTGATAGAAATAAAGAGGGAGGAAGTTGTCAACCCATTTATATACTTAATGTATAGCAATCAGGACTATGTGGGATTGGCACAAAAATAGATCTGCAGATCGATGGAACAGAATGAAAAACATAAAAATAGAACAACATAAATATATCCAACTAACTTTTGACACAATTGCAAAAGCAATTTAATGAAGAAAAGATAGCTTTTCAACAAATGGTGTGGAAACATTTGGAACATCTGAACATCTAAAGGCAAATAATGAACCTCAAACTAGGTCTCATACCTCATTCACATCATTAACTCAAAATGGAGCATGGACTTATATCTAAAATACAAAACTATAAGACTTTAAGAAAATACATAGAGAAAATTTTGCAAGATCTAGGGCTAGGCAAAGAGTTCTTTGATTTGCCACCAAAGGCACAATTTATGAATGAAAAATTATTTTAAAATTAATCAAAAGTAAAATTTTTTCTCAAATACCTCGATAAGAGGATTAAAAGACAAATCAATCACCTATCTCACACATGATTTTTATCTAAAATATATAAAGACCTCTAAAAACTCAAGATTTAAAACCAATTATTTAATAAAAAGCAAAATATATAAGGAGGCATTCCACTGAGAAGGGTATAAATATGGCAGATAAGAACTTGAAAACATGTTCAACATTATTAGCCATTGAGGAAGTGCCAACTAAAATCACAAGGAAATATCCTTCATACTTACCAGTATGGCTAAATGAATATACAAAGTATAACATACCTATACAGTGGAATATTATTCTGCAGTAAATAGTAACAAATTACTAATACATATGACGCTATAGATAAATCTCAACATTATACTGGGTTTAAAAAAATATACAAAGGGACATACTGTGTAATTCAATTTTCATGAAATTCTAGAAAATGAAAACTATAATAACAGAAACTGGAGAAATTATTGACCGCAGGTTGATGGTATAGGGAGGAGGGAGGACACAGTACAATTTTGGGGGTGATAAAAATATTTTATATCTTGTTGGTACCGATTTTACAAGTGTATACATCTATCAAGACTCATCAAATTTGATACCTTAAATCATTGCAGTGTATTTTATATAATTTTTGCCTCAATAAAACTGAATTTGAATTGTCATCAGAAGACCTAGAACAGACAGTTTTAATTTGGCCTCTGAGATTGACTCCCGAATGAAGGATGCTGAACTGGCAGGGCAAGGGAGCTCCTACAGGACACAACATTGGGGGAAACGCAGAGTTCCCTACAAGTTGTGGCTATACTGGCCACAGTCACAAGATTGCCACAGGAATTACTTCAAGAATACTCTATTAGAGTTGCAAATAAGGGAAGAGAAGGCCCCTGTTATACTTGACAACTATTTCTCATCACACATATAGCTTATGATTTGACATAGAAAATCTCAATGTCTACAAGTAGAGGGTAAACACGTAAAAGAACCCCTACTTATATTGGAATGTGACATAAACGAATACATTTTTTATTATAAGTATTTACTAAATATTGCATTGGACGTACTTATACTAAAAATGTGTTGTTTAAAGTATAACTGATTGTCTTATATGTTTATTTGCTAAATTTGGCAAACCTACTCCAAGATCAGACTTACAACAGCTATAGCAGCAAGAATACCCTCCTTATTTACAAATTTCAAATCTCAAGTAAGTGCATCTAACTAGCAAAACTTACCTGCATCTAGAAAAGTACCTGCAGGGAAGAAAAATAATAAAATAAATACAAGTGACAGGTTTTCAGGCCTTGAATTATACTAAAGCATAATACGTGTGGGTTGGAATGGATGGTCATTTAACCAATCGTTACTACCCTCCTGCCCCCAGTAGCTTTGGATCACCTACAGTAAAATCCAAAATTTCCACCAGGACTAAAGGCTGCTCTTTTATTCTCCTAACTCCTGTAGTTATCTCATTTTCTATAACCCTCACCCTGTTCACTCTTCTGTAAGCTCATAATTTTATTGTCTATGAACTTTTAAAGCTTGTTCCTGACCGAGGGGTATATACTTGCTATTTCCTCAGTAAGTAACATATAATATTTGTTAATATTCAGCACATAAAACAATATTTGACCTGTTTCAACTAATTAATATATCTTAATTGAATAAATTTGTCAATTTTCTATTTATATTACATAGAAATTATTTCTCAGTGATTTACCCTTAAAAAAAAAAAACCCGAATCTGTTACAGTCATGCATCACTTAAGGTTGTTCTGAGAAATGCGTAATTGGGGAACTTTCTCACTGGGCAAACATTATGGAGTGTACTTGCACAAACCTAGATCATATAGCCTGCTGTAAACCTAGGCTACATGGTGTAGCCTTTCACTCTTAGGCTGCAAACCTATACGGCATTTTACTATACTGATTATTTGAGGTAATTGTAACACAATGGTAAGTATTTGTGTATTTATACACATATAAACATAGAAAATGTACAGTAAAAATATGGCAAATATGGCAAATAGTCTTATGAGACAACCATTGTATGTGCAGTCTGTTGTTGACTGAAATATCATAGGTACATGATTGTAATGTATGAAATATCATGCGGTACATGACTGTAATTGTAAAGATATCTATAAAAATGTTTTTAGATATTTGAGAGTACTATATAACAAGAGGCAGTTTTATTTGTTAATTTTCACATTTTCTAAAATACATTAGGGAATTAAATGTAACCATCATTAAATTTAAATAAGCCAAAACCATGTATAATTTCTCACAAATATAGTTAATACTTCAACATGACTACCTTTATTTTCACAATCCTGCTGATATTTTTCTGCGTATTGGAGGCACTTTGCAGAACTGAAGGAGGAAAAGTCCGTATCTGAATATTTTCTTCCATTTTCTTATTAAACACCTAATTGTTTATTTTAGCTTATCTAAGGCTTTCTGTAAAGACAAGAGAGATGACTGGTTAAACTGGTTATAGTATTTGAAGCATTGTATTATATTTCTTTCAATGTTTGGTCTTCTGATTGAAATATTACTTTGCTTTAGTTTTTCACGAAATTTGGCTCATAGGAGTAACTGAAGCAGTTATAAATTAAATTTCTCTTGAAACTTTAAGCCTGAATGCTTCCTAGGAACTTATTTATTTCACTTACTTCCTTTACCCCTCTTTGATTGATCTATATTCAATTCAGTATGGTTCATTCACGTATGAAACTGCCTATTTTATATGCCAGATACAGCATCTTCTATAATACTCTTTTTTTTCCTTTAGAAAGGAAATGACACCCTCATTCTTAGAAGTACATTGTTTTTTAAATATCCATAGGCGGAAATATTTTCATTGTCAATATGGGAGGTTTCGTTTTGCTTTGTTTTAATGTATTCTCCTTGAAAATAAAAAAATATATATTTACTCACAAAACTGGAAAGAAACTTGGTGTTAATCCAATCCTTTGTTTAACAGAAAACAAAACATTTGCCAGCAAATGTAGTATCTAACCCAAAGTCATAGAGCTACTCAGCAGTAGGCTTAGAGTTTTCCAAATTTACAGCATGGTGAATCTTTACCATACTAGAATAATTTTCATTTATTATATTTACATAAATGCCTTTGTGCTCTAACATACTAGGATTATTATTTTCATAATGTTACTCAGTTTTATTTGCTCTATAGTTGTTACAAATGTATAAGCCCAGATATGAAATTCATTTAGACCACTTGTTGTACTTCATTATTATGTATTTTGCTTTTGTGTGGTCACACTATGAAAAAAGGATGAATCTGTTCCTGCACCCAACCCACACGTAATTTGATTCAGATTCAAGATGCTATATACAAATTCAACAAGAAGGTATGAAAAAGCTTTATGCCGGGCACAGTGGCTCACGCCTGTAATCCCAGCACTTTGGGAGGCTGAGGTGGGCGGATCATCTTAGGTCAGGAGTTCAAGACCAGCCTGGCCAACATGGTGAGACCCCATTTCTACTAAAAATACAAAAAATTAGCCAGGCAGGGTGGTGTGTGCCTGTAACCCCAGCTACTCGGGAGGCTGAAGTGGGAGAATTGCTTGAACCTGGGAGGTGGAGGTTGCAATGAGCCATGATAGTGCCACTGCACTCCAGCCTGAGCAACAGAGCAAGACTCTGTCTCAAAAAAAAAAAAAAAAAAAAAAAAAAGAAAGAAAAGAAAAAGCTTTATAACTTGCCTTATAATGTTTCTGGGGAGACCAGGGAAGGCTCCCAAACAGGTCTGAAAATGGCTTGAGACAGCAGAGAAAGGAAACTAGCTTCGTTTTTATTGTGTTTAGGGAGTGGAGCTGGGGACAGGATTCTTGTCTGTATGTGTGTTGGGGCTTTCATGGTTTGAAATTAGCATGAGGTCCAAAAAATGGAGGCCCTGACTTTCTTATCTGCTTACTTAGATGTAAGGCAGAGGCGAAGATGGAGTGGTGGGGCTTGATAAAAGTTAGCAGATAAACACCAGAAATAGAGTCAGATCCGTTGTTATCCCTCTGATCATATTATTTATAATTCTTATTATGATACTAGTTGAGTTCTTTAAGATGATAGACTCAAATTACACAATTCATATTAATCTATTATGAAATTTAAATTAGGAAGCTGCAAAAAAAGAAACTCAATGGTTGTTTAATATGATGATTGTCTTTTCAAATTATCAAAAATAACAAAAGGCCAAATTTCCTGATGGCGCTTATATAGGAGTGATCACATAAACAACTGTTGTTTAAAACTAAGATCTTGTTCTTTAAGTAATGTTATGTTGAAGCTCATTTTTATTAAGTTTTCTGAAGGGGCTAGTAAACACACCAAATCTATCTTACTGAAGATTCTAAATTTTTGTTTCAAGAATCATACCTGGAGAAATCCTATCTGTGGCCTTGTCAACAAAAGTTATACTTTAAGAAGGATTAGTCTAAAATTAAAATTGATCACAGACATAAACACTCAATCGCTGCTGAGCTGATCATGGAAAACTCACATGAACTGTTGAGATTAAGTCCCACCCAACAGTTTTAAAGTTCTCACAAAACGTAAATATGATATCAAATGATAACCTACCTAATGCTACCTTTTAATTAGATTTCCAATCAGAAAACAAAAGACAACAAAAACCAGAAGATAAAATTGTATTTGCAAAATTCTACTAATCCTAATTATGGAGTAGGACATCACAAGGTACAAGCTGCATGATGATGAAAATAAACAGGCAAAATACACGGAACTGGTGACAACACATATCTCTCTTCTATAGCCATAACAGATATCACCAGTACAGTATATATTTTCCTTTGAAAAGATAATGTATAATAAGGAGTCAATATTATACTATGAGGCTATGTGGGATCTGAAGTGGGTAGAAGAGGAGTGAAGGTCACTAATTTGTCTTACTGAGAAAATAATACTTGGGCAAATATTTTAAGTAGCAGAGATAATTAGCTGTGCAGGCAACTAGAGAAAGAATTTCCAGGAAGAAGGACAAATCAGTCCAAAGGTTTCAAGGTTGAAAAATGAATTGTTGACTTGGATGAATAGCAAGGCTCCCCCTATAGCTGGAGGACTGTAAATGTCAGGCAGAGCAGTGGAGAAAAGATGAGAAGAAATGAGAGAAAGTATTATGTGGGGACTTACAGGCCATTAAATTGAATTTGGCTTTTATTCTTAAGAAAATGAATATATTTTGCAGGATATATAGTGGAGGAATGACATGATTTATATTAAATTTTTAAAGGATTATTTTAATTGCCATGTTTATAATATACTAAAGGAGATCAGAGCAGAAATAGGGGAACAGGATAAAAGATTAATGTTAGTGAGTAATGATGCCGGTTGGATAGGAGGTCAGCACTGGAGGTGCTCGGAAGTGATAAGGTTCCAGATCATTTTGAAGATAGAGCCAATGGTCTCTAACAGGATTTCTTTATGTGTTAGATGTGGTTTCTGAAAAAACTAAAACTAAAAATGACTCTACAATTTAGCTTGGACAATGGCAATACTGAAGTTGCCAAAAACCAAAATAGATAGGGCATCAGATGGAGCATATTTGGGGAAAGAAGATCCATAATTTATATTTTGACAATATTGATTGTTAGCTATCTACTAGACACCTATTAAACTTGTGTGAAAGGAGGTGGGGCATAAGAATCCAGAAATCAGGAAAGAGGTCAGGGCTAGAGATGTACAATAGAGGTTCATCAGCCACAGACATGGTTTTTAAAGCTCTGAGATGAATGGGTTGTAAATCAGATGGAGAATAAAAAAAGGAAGAGTAACCCTGGGAAATTATTTATCAGGAAGATACAATACCAGAAAAGAAGGCTGGGAAGGAGTGGCCAGTTAGATTGAAGGAAAACGTTTAGAGTATGGTGTCTTAGAATTTAAGGAATGATTTCTCAGAGGAAAGAGTGTTTGGCTATGTCAAAAGTCACTAATAGTTTAAATAAGATGAGGACTGGGAACTTCTCATTGGATTTAGCAACATGAAAGTAATCAATGACCTTGACACCAATAGTGACCTTGATCAGAGCCAGCTTTTCTATATATTACTTCATTTAATATTTTTAATAACTGTTATTGATGATTAAACTTAAATTCTAATAGCTTCAGTTCCTTTTTCAAGTTCACAGAGCCAGTGAATGATCAAGCATCAATCAAATCGAGATCTATCAGTCTTCAAAGTCCACACATTTCTCATGTGCTAAAATATCTCCTAAGAGTGGCAAAAGATTTTACAGTTTATTTTTTCACCAGAAATGTTTCCATGCTTTACTTGTCAACACTTGGCTTAAAACCAAGTAACCAATGAAACAACTAAATTAGGAAGAACTTATTTATAAGTTTAAAGCGTCCTTAAATTTCTCGCCAGACAGTGTTAACTCTCCAAACCTTATTCTGTTAGGTAAATGCTCACAGTCTTAACCAAAATATGTAGAGTAAAATGAGGATAACTACAATGTTTCAGAACAATATTTATGAGTAAAGTACAATACTCTATGTACTTCAGTATAGGAATTATTTGAATGGATGTATTTTTATATATAAATGTATTAAACTACATAAAATACTTGGATTTGTATTTCCATGTTTCTGCTTTTTTTAAATTCTTTTACATTTTGAGTGAAAACGAACATTTAATTATCTTTCAAATTGGGGTATAAATTTGTAAGTATGAAGTTGTATACACTAATGCTTCAGACATCTAGGAACATATAAATAGTTTGCAGGAACTTACTTTAGTGCTATCTCACATTAATCAGTGGGAAGCACGTGCTTTTTATTTCTTTTAAAACCCCAAATGCTACTACTCTCTTACATTAGGCAATGGTAGGAATTACTATTTTACAAAAGGAGAATTAGATTTATTCTGATGAATACTTTTCTTGTTTATAGCCACCAAAGGATATAACGCTCTTTTTCCCCAATTTTTGTAAACTTTCAGTGCAATAATTCTGTTTTGCAATTATGCAATAAAACAGAGCCTTTTGTGAGTGTTTTGCAAACAAATAAGTATAAGAAGTTAGCCATATGATCAAGCAATTGTGATGGCAGTGGTGGGCCATCTGGAACAGCTGTTGTGAAGACACAGGCTGCATCAGGGGAGGCACGGCTGGGGCTACACACTCCATGGAGCTGGCTGAACTCATTCCCCCTTCCAAGTTGAAGAAGTGTGAGCCTTGCCCTTCTGGGTACAGCTGCAGGCACCCATCCACATGAACAGCTTGGGGACTGTGGGTGCTGTGGACAATGGGTTTATGGTGGCAGGATGCAGACAGGCTCCTGGGGGGAAAGGGGTAGGTCCCTATTGAAGCCCCACCTTCAAGCCAGGGATAGCCTGAAGCCTAGGGACCAGGCTGTCAGTTCTGCAGATCAAAGTGAGAATTCATGGTGCTTTTTCTGGGCCCAACCATGGCTGCCTATAGACCAATCAGCATGTACTTTCTCCCCTTTGAAGCCCATAAAAACCACAAAGTCAACCATGCTCAGGCAGATGATGGAATGACCTGCCTGCAGAGAGGAGCTACCCACTCCTGGTCTCCTCTCCACTGAGAGCTGCATAGACACCAGCACAACCTGCCTGCAGAAAGGAGCTACCCACTTTGGGTCTCTTAAGAGCTGTAATGACACTCAATAAAGCATCTCTTCACCTTGCTCATGCTCCAGTTGTCTGTATACCTCATTATTCCTGGACATGAGACAAAAACTCAGGACCTGCCATACAGCAGGACTGAAAGAGCTGTAACACAAACAGGGCTGAAACATACCTCCACCGCCACTCACCACGTTGTGGGTGACAAGAAGGAGAGAAGAGCTGTGGCCCTTCAGGGAACCCAGACCAAGGAGCTCCCTGAGCCAGGGCTTTGACACCCTCTTTGGGGCTCTGCAGTTCCTGGCATCTCCAAGCTTCTGGGCACCACTTTATTTCCCAGTGCCCACAGTGGAAGCTGCCTGCCTCATTGCAGACAGCATGCCTGCAACTATGGAGACTATGGAGACAGTGAAAAGGTCATTTGTTTTGAGGGGTAGTGGGGAAAGAGGGATGAAAGGATGGAGGACCAAGGATTTGTGGGGCAGTGAAACTATTCTGTATGACACAGTAATGGTGGATACATGCCATAATACATTTTTCTAAACCAGTAGAATGTACAAATACTGAGACTGAACTGTAATGTGAACTATGAACTTCGGGCATTTTTTTTTAAGTCAAGAAAGGAGGATGTTGTGTTGTAAATTAACATTCTCACAACTGTACTTGAAATAGAATCAATATAAATTTTCTTTTTAGAGCTGAATTCATTCACACTGATCCATATAAAATATTTACTTAGAAGTAAGATAACATTTTTTATAATAATTCCTCCTGTTTTCCACCAAGAATAAGTCAAATTTTGAACTTTTTGATTAATGTGAACTATGCAGAAGGGGCTATCAATTAGTACAATGTTATCTATGAAAAGGCTAATTTTATTTTTCCTCCTTAGAAGTGCCTAGTTATGGCTTAATGTATATACACACACACACACACACACACACACACACACACACACACACACACGTGTATGTGTGTTTATACATGTTAAGCCATAGGTTTAAAGTAAGTAACAAACAAAGGGTTTGTTACTTTAATTATTTCCACCTTACCTATGAGTAGACATTGACTTACAAGAAGGTTAAATAATTAGCCCAGCATTATGTTACTAAAAAATAACAAAGCTGAGCTTTGACCCCTGGTAGTCCAACTCCAGAAGCTGTGTTCTAAACTACTAAGTGATAGTATTTCACCTGACTTACTTTCTTATTTTCTACCAGTCTCATTCAGATCCAGCCACATGTTCTTTTGTAACCTCCTTTTCCTTTCTCAAATATTCCTAGCAAACTTTGTGTTGCAGCTTTTGTATTAGCTATTCTTTAGGCCTTGACTCTTCCTCCCCAGATACAAGCATGACTAGCTCCTTCACATCCTTTCAGAGTCTCCTCAAATTTCAGACTTCCCTTGACCACTTACCTAAAGCAACACTCCTTCTATCTACATCCACTCCAATTAATGTTTACCTTCCCTAGGGCAACACTCCTTCCCTCATCTACATCCACTCCAATCAATATTTACTTCCACTATACTGCTTGGCTTGCCTTCATACCACTTATTTCTATTGTTCTCAACCTTCATCTGTATGAGAATCTCCTGAGCAGCTGAAAAAGATGGCAAATTGTTTTAGAGCCAACCCTTAAAATGCTGAATCAATATATTTACCAAAGTGACTGAACAGGTGGAATTTTCTAAATTAACCAGGTAATTTCAATATATAGCCAGGAATGTACCTCACATTTATTGTATATTATATAGCATTGCACATTTGTTTGAATATTATCTATCTCCTCAACTGATATATAAATAAACTTTAGGAATAAAAAATTTGATGTTTTATCCATTTTTGTATTTTCAATGCCTGGAACCAAGTTGGGCAAATAAATATCTGGTAAATCAACGAATAAGTATTTATCAAGTAAATAAATAAAATTAGTGTTTAATAAAATCAACCAGAGTACCATTAGCATAAGTCTTTCTTTAAAACTGACAGGTACAGAAAGACTATCCTAACTTTGGAAAGGAGGTTAATTATCTGGGGTTTTAGCAGGAAAAGATACCCAAAGTTCAGTTCATTTTGCAAAAAGTTGGGTAAGAACTATTGTCATAAGAGAGAAGAATTGACTATGTAGATTTCGAAGCTTTGTTAATTTGCATTTTATTAAGAGAGATGAGAGGAAACTTAGGTTTTAAAGTCATACACAAGAGTTTGAGAGGAAGAACTTCAATGACAAGGACCTACAGAAATTGCCATAGAAAGTTCTCAGCCCTTTACTGCCTTTCACAGTTCTTCTCTGGCATTGGGAAAGACTCTTTTGTGACCTAATTTTAGTTTAAATCTCTAAACATACACCTCTCGTGTTTGTTAGGAGACAATTGCTCATGAGTTTCTCTTGCTTCTCTGCAAATCTTACAAGTGGGACATTTAATACATTTATTCTAGACACTCTTTTCAATGACTTTTGTATAGCAAATACTGGAAGAAGGAGTGTCTTCTTCTGTAGCAGAGAGCAAGAATGCTTACTGTCCACTGACAAAAGATTAAGATTCCCTAAATTCAGAGATCCTATCCTATAAAGGAACTATTAATTGTGCAAGCAACCATCTGATTCTATCTGTCTTAATCCCATGGGACATCAGGCAACGGGAACTAACACAAATATATTGATGTACAGATCATGGCTACTGATGTGGATAATCCTTTCTGTCCTTTCTTCCTGACCCAGGAGTTCTGTATTTACTGCAATTATCCATGAAACTCTGGCAGGCTAACTTGATGCTTGCAAGTAGCGTTAAGCCTCAAATACTTCAAAATTCTTGAAAGTGTTGGTTGAAGTCTCAGATCTCTATTGATGACTGCCTTCACAGCTCTCATCAATTTTACCTTTGTATTATAATTGAATCTAAATTGTTTGTCAAGTGAATGGCTACCCATAGCATTTAATATTGGATGGAGAACACAGAGTTTAAGGGAGGGCAGAGTGAGGCAAGGAAAATTTCTGAATAAGTGTATGACAGTCAGGAGATTTGCCCTCCTTTACCAAAGGAAGAAAAATAACAGGTTAAGGTGCGGTAACAATTGATAGAAATATGTGTGAGCAAAAAGAGAAGTGCTTCCTAGGGGATCATTTTAGATACATAAAAATGGTAGATGATTTTATTCTAAATTAAAGTCTAAGCTACATGAGAGAGCATGAGGTTAAGTAGGGAGCCTAAGAATTAAGTACATATAGGTCTCAGTTAACTCTGCTGTTAATTATGGCTATTTTCACTACTAGAAAACAAACAGGCTTTTATTATAGATCAAGTAAGAGAGTAAGACCCATAAGCATTGAGTCTGTAATGGCCATTGTACTGTTGAGTTAGAATCCTCATATTCTCATTTTCCCAATCTTTAATATGCAAATAGAAAAAAAAGGATGGTAGTAAGGAAGTCTGAGTATATAAGGTGGGAGTGAGGGTTGAGAGGAATAGCTTTGAGCTTCAAAAGAAAATCTTAGTGCATCTTTCAAGGGCAAGGTATGACAGCGTTAGATCATAAAAAGTGGCTTCCAGTTGGAAGCAGTTAGGAATCCAGTATCTACACTCTCTAAATCTAAGCTGTCTTTAGATTATTGCCTGGGGAAAGTCTTGAATATACTCCAGTCTGAGGAGAAAGAGACTTTGCTTTTTATAGATTTCACAATCTTGAAAACCACTTGGGACTGACAAAAGTGAAGTTTATCTTTAAAGATTTTGCCTTTTTTGTTTCTTATTACTGTAAGCAAATAGAAGCATGTCCACAGATTCTCAGTGTGGAAAGTATAATGAAACAACAGCCACATATGTAAGATTAGGGTCCTAAAAAATGGAATGTCTCCAAGGTTATACGTAAATGATTGCAAGAAATATTGCTGCAAAATCTGATAATCATAACTGTCTAATTGATTTTCTCAATTGATTACAAATAGATAATTTAATCTGCATGCAAGAGAATCCAGAGCATACATATCTACACTGTAAATTCAGCAGCTATCTTTGGGATCGAACATAGGATTATATTAGGGTAAAGGACTGCAGAGAAATGAGAAAGAATAGTCTTTTCAATGGGTCCTACATTATGTACAAAATAATAACAGCAAAAATTTGTCTATTTGATGGGTAGAGCAGGGGTATTACTTGGTCAGTCGAAGATTATGAGTCCATTCTATAGATATGTGGATATGATAGTCCAAAGTCTTTAAGAGCCTCTCTTTCCTTTGGCTTTTGAATGACTACAATAAGGGCATAAATAAACCAGTTGGTTCAGCCTCCAGTAAGTGTTCCACATCTGAAACATATTTGGCTTGGAGGCAATAGGAAAAATATTTAAGGTATAAAATGATAAAGCATCAAGTAGTGGTTAATCTGAGCCATGATTAAATAATTGGCCAGAGATTCTCTTCTGCAATTCCAGAAAGGGGAAGTTCTGGCATATTTAATGGTGGCATCCAAGTTACAAAGTAGATCTTGTGTCAATTGATTCACTGGAATAGGATAATCGAGCAGAAAAGCACATGAGTAGTGAGATTGTCAGTTAGTTGCAGAGTCAGAAAGTAGCTAAGACAAAAGCATTGTCAGAGTGATATTTGAAGTATGTTCTACTAGTTTTTGTGTGTGGGGTGGGGGGACACCTGAAGGAAAGAGGAATGTGGAACAATATTAGGGTTTCTGGTAGAGAGTATGGCCTTTTTATCAACTAGAAATAAAACATTTTTTTTTTTTGCAAATCCAGAAAAATGTCTCCTTTTTGTATTTAAGGCAATTGTAGGAAAACTACACTGGATAGATATACTTAGAGGGATGTCATGTTGTACAAAGTTTGTCCTTTGTGTTTTAGATTATATCTTTCTGAGACAGGATAATTTTCTCCTAGTATTCCTTTTATATCAAATATCAACTGATATCTATGTCTAGAAATATTATCCTTTGTTTTGAGTTTATCTATTTGTTCAATCTAAGAAGTTATTAATTTGGTCTACAATTTTTCTTTTTTTTGTTTTTTTGAGTCAAAGTATCTTCTATTTTCTCAGCAAGGTCTTGTAATTCAGAGTCAACTGTCTGCAATCCTATCTTCTATTTTCTAACTAAACCTGTCAAGTCACATTTAAGACCATTCACCAAAAAAGAAGATTGCACAGCTGTGGTATTTTCACCCCTATTGAGACCAAAGTATATTTGGAATGTGCTAGTTAAGCAATCTCAGAAATCAGAGATGGATTGTTTAGACAGTTGGATTCATTGCCAATAAATCTTAAAGGAAAGTTCACAGGGATAGTTATGAAGAATCAGATTTTGGACAAGGTTTATAAATATTCCGACTATGGGTTATTCATCATCCCCACCTACTTTATAAAACTTATGAGGGAGTATTGTCCAGTGAGAAAGATGTGCTTAGGAAAGGGTGGGATAACAAAAGGGAAGAGCAATGGTGTGAGAGAAGAAGCAGAGCAGGAATAAGAGGAAGTCAAGATACATGGAACCAGCATGAAGGTCAGTCCAGAGTTGCAGCAGGAAAGGGAGAGGAAAAGGCTGAGTTTTGCCATATGGGGGAAATGATGACTATATTTAGATCCCAGGGGGACCTGTGAGTATCCCCTTACTCAAAAATCTTGGTCAATGGAAATACATTGCAACTTAATGAAGACAGAACCCCACACAAATCATATGCATTGAGACTTGGGTCAGCTGATTAGGGTAAAGAACACCGTTTAGCCAATATTCTGACCCAGGATAAGATCATGAAATGGATGGCGAAAGAAAGAAGCTATGCCTACCAAGCTATGCCAACCTGCTGCAGAAAGCAAGGATTATAGCAGCTATGCTTCATTAATATGGGGACTGCTATTCAACCCCTTGCCTCTTGCTACTCTATATGGAAAATACAAACAAAACAAAAAAACTGATGCTGTTTTAGTTTTCAGGGATAGGACTAGGATATGGTGACATTGGTACCATGAAGACCTGGTAGCTGATGAGATTTTGCTTTTTTTCTCTCGTAATGGATATAGATTTTTCATCCAATAGACAAGACTACTACTGGTCAACACTAGATATCTTCTGTTTGTTTCTCCGGATACATTCTGTAATCTTCTTCACCTCCCTTAGGAGGCTGACCTTTATGGGTTATACCAATGGGATCCCTTACCCTCTGACTTCCACTTGTAAAATGAGAAGACTTTACAGGTCATTAGAGAAGGGAGGTAAATCAGGTTAGGTATTTTTAATTGAATGCCTCTCCAGAGAAGGAGACGTCACCCTGGGATGGAGTGTGTCCCTAAAGTTAATGCCTAAACCCTTTACACATTCCTATCTGTTTTGTGATTCTGTAACTACTACTTTCAATAACTTCAGATGCAGTAATGGTACTTGGGTACCACTGAATAAATTCTTGGGATTTCTCCATGCCTTGCCTAACACAGATTTTTGTTAAACTTACACACACACACACACACACACACACACACAATTAAAAAAAAATTCAAAAAGTATCCTAATTTTGATTGTTTCGTGTGTTTTCTGCTGAGAAATTGACTGATAATATTTAATGGCTGGTTCTAGATATGCCTAAATTTAGTCCCATCAGTATCACTTTTAGGGCCTTTAAGTTGTTAAGAGCCAATAGGTCTTTTTTTATAGAGAGCATTTTAAATGGCTTTTGTGTCACCTAAAGTCCTAGAGTCCTGATGGAAAGAATTTGTAATGAGGATATCTGACTTATTTTTGGAACTCTACCTCTATTGTGTCATATGATCTTTGATGACACAACCTCTCTAGATCTTAGTTTTTACACCTGTCAGTTGGTGCCATTGAAATATTTTCTATCCAAGGGTACATAAAATTTGATCAACAATTTATTGGGTTAGGCATTAGGCATTTCAAGGCAGGTAAAATATACAGAATATTTTTATCAATATATTGCCTAGAAATTCTAGTATTATTCAAGGTCCAGCCATTTAGTTATATTTAATACATTTTCACCTTAAATGTGATAGAGAAACACTGACAGAGAATAAAGTAATGGTCTTGTGAAAAGAACCTGTGTCTATAGTTTAAAATTTCAGGCAAAATAGGGAGAGGATCAAAGTTGAAAGAAGAAATGATCAGTGTCAAAATTTCCATTTATAGCTGTCAATATATGCTGTGGGTTTAGCTCTATTCTATTAAATTATTCTATTAAAGTTTTTAAAAAGCTCTAATACAAGAAGTGTGTGTGTGCATGTTTACATCATTCGAAATCATCTTGAATGGCTGTTTACTTTATGGATCATTAGAATTTTATCCATATATAACCAGCAAATAGCTGACATATCAACCCTACCTCAGAGAGCTCTAGAATATCTAGTAATCTATGACCAGGAGATACACTATGTAATTCTGTGCCTTTATTAAAACTGCTCTTGGAAGAAAATGACAGAATATAAAGCATCTATTTAAATATATATAGCCTTTTAATAAAATGTGTGTTTCTAAATGGTTGTCTATGATTGGCATATTTGGAATTATTTTTGGAAATGATAGCTGATACTAGTCCCCAGGTATGATTTGTATTAGTGTCTTCAGGGGTTAAAGAAAAGCTCCTTGCAGCCCAATTTACCTAGGAAGTATATGTGTATACGTGTTACATCAGTCTCACCCCAGACACTGCTATGGTTACCAGTTCTGCAGACTCCAGCCTGCTTCAGGCCCCATGTCTCTTTCTTCTTGCCTCAGGGCTTCTCTGTTGATGCCAAAGGGAAATCCATGTTTGGGGATGTCTTATCTAGGTACAAGCCTGGAGGTTCAGAAATGTAAATAATATCGTGGATGAAACTGACAAATGGAGAGCAGGAGCCCATGGGTAACCATTCCTCCTCAATTTTCCCAGAGAGGAAGTTCTGAGACACACTTCATATAGTTCCATATGTGTTTCTATGGGATTTGAGTTATATAAGTCATTCCTATTGTTGACCAATTAAATAATGCACCTTTGACTGGCTCTCCTTCATGTCTGCTTAGCTTCCCATCTCACAATCATTCTCTCAGAATCCCACTCTTCAAAATAAAATGTTTACTATTCAGCTTTGCCTCAGTTTCTAAGGCAGAAGGGTTAAAAATCATCCATGAGTAGTGTCCCTTCTTATCATTACATAATAGAAAATGTGGTCAAATATATTTACAACACTGTGCTCAGATGGTGATGAAACCCTTTTCATAAAATCAGATTTGAATTTTAATTAAAACTATTTTTATCACTGTATCATTAAAAAAATTTTGTTTTTATATTAGAGAAGGCTGATTCTTAAATTTAAATCCAGAAAAGTGGATAGTATCTTTAAAAAATGAAATGTTGAGAGAAATGAATGTATGTAAATTATTATTTTATTAGTTTGTACTCCATAATTTTAAAACTTTATTTTAAAAATTACTATAATATTCATGTTTTTTCATAATTTAGATAACACAGAATATAAGACAGGAAAATTAATTTTACTAACCAAATGTAGGATGGTTTCATATTTATCTTTAAAATTAAATATATCTTATAAAATTGAAACTTATTTGTTTATAGAGATAGATATCCTACCTTTTTCCATGTTCCATGCCATAAGCATTTTCTCTCTGTATTGAATAATCTAGGAAATGTGATTTTCAATGGAATAAATTATTTTATTTCACTTTTGATGAACATTTAAGTTTCTAAATTTTTACCTTAAGTAATGTTGCATTGAGCATGAATATACATAAATCTTTATGTTCCTTTCTGTGTATTGCTTTAGGGTAATTTTCTGGAATTTGAGTTACTCTGTTAATGTATCTGCATCTTTAATGGCATACATATTTGTATTTGTCACCTATTTTTGTCCCAAAAGCTTAGTTTAGATTTACATTTTATAAGATTTGTTCAGCTACCAATATTTTTATTGTTACCACTGGCCAAGCTTCTGAGGTTTCACTTGTTCATGGATAATTTTAACACACAACATCTCTCTTTTATTTCCAACTATGTTTTCTATCATTGACTTTTGTGATTTCAGCATTCCAGTCGATGATAAATCCATAAACTGATCTTATCACTCAAATAGCCATTTTTTTCTCATTTCTATCTTACATGCCTAATCTTATATTGTGCCCTTCAAACTCTCAATTCTATGCTTTTATATATATTTAAACTTAGCAAGTCTTTGACCACACAGATAACTCAAACTCATTTACTCAATTATTTTATTACTGTCAAAAATCCCCATCTTGCCCACACTTCTCTCCTATCCTTACACAACTTAAAGTTTCTAGCCCGTAGTTATAACTAACTTCTGCTTTGAAAATGTCTAAACTTCCTTACACTTATCTTTCACAACATACTTCTGGAAAGTCTTTTACCTAGTTAAACCAAATACCTGAGTGTTTTAGCAGAACAGATTTGGAAAGAAAATCCCATGACCATATTGGCCAGTCTCACTTAAAATTAATGACATAAATAAAAAATGGACACTAAACAGAGTCTAATACTTAATACATCCTTGTAATATGCTTTAACATTCTCTAAAATGACAAATTAAGAAGGGAAAGATTATCCTTTCCCTTAATTTTTCATAACTCCTTCTTTTTCCTATTCCTCCAGTGATGACCTTGCCTTACACTTCACTGAGAAAATGAAAGTCATGAGAATCTCTCTTAGTCTGTTTCTGCTGCTATAACAAAATACCTTGGACTGGGCAATTCATAGACAGCAGCCATTTATTTCTCACAGCTCTGAGCCTGGGAAGTTTGAGATCAAAGCACTGGAAGATTTACTGTCTGCTGAAGGCTGGCTCTCTGCTTCCAGGGTGATGCCTTGTTGCTGGGTCCTCTGGAGGGGATGAAAGTTGTGTCCTTATATGGCAGAAGGAACAGAAAGACAGAAAGACAAAAGGACAGAAGGGTAAAAGGGCAGAAGGATCTAGTTGGCTTTCTCCAGTCCTTTTATAAGGCAATAATCCCACTCATGAGTGCTCCACCCTTATGAATGAATTGTTTCCTGAAGTCCCCACCTCTTAATACTATCACATTGGGGTTTAAATTCCAACTTATAAATTTTAGAGAGACACATATATTCAAACCATGATGGTCTTCCCATGGGCCCTCAAAATTAATATCCTTCTTATATACAAAATACATTCATTCCATCCCAATAGCCCTAAAAGTCTTAACTCATTCTGGCATCAACTTCAAAGTCTAAATCTACAGTTTCTTCTAAAGCAGATATCGGTGGAACTCAAGGCAAAAGTCATCCTAAGGCAAATTGCCCCCCCCCAGCTCTGAGCCTGTGAAACCAAACAAGTAATACACTTCTAAAATATTATGGGATAGACATTCCCATTTCAAAGGAGAGAAATTCAGAAAAACAAAGGGTAAGAGATCCCAAGTCTAAAACCCAACAAGGTAAACAACATTAAATCTTAAGGTTTGAAAATAAACTTTGACTCCATGTACTCCTGCCTCTGAACAACTGGAGAAGGGTTTCCAACCCTAAGGCTCTAAAGCACCGCATCCCCATGAGTTCGGTGCAGCCTACACAGCAGCTCTCATGGGTTGGAGTTGAGTGCCTGCAGCTCTCCCAGGCTGCTGTTGCAGTCTTGTAGTTCTACAGTTTTGGGTTCTCAAGGGCAGCACTGCATCCACAGCTCTATTAAACATTGGAAAGGGCAGCCCCACCACTGTGATGGTTCTTTGCCTCACACTTGAGGCTCCATGAGACACTATTTGCAAAGTAGATGGAAAAAGCCATGCCTCCACAGCTTTTGTACTCTATGCACCTACAGAGTTGGCAGTATGCAAACGCCATGAAGATTTACTAATTCTGCTTTCTGGCAAGTATATCCCAAGCTGTATCTGAGCCCACTTCAGTCACAACTGGGGAGACCAAAGAGCACTGCACAAGAATGAGGGAGCAGATACTTGAGGTGAGATAATGCATCAAGGGACATGAGATTATTATTTTATTTATTTATATATTTAATCTCATCATGTTTCCCTGTTTCCCTAAAAACACATCTTTCTCTTGGTAGTTGTGATGCCACATCTTTGAATTTCCTCATATGTCAATGTTCACTCTTTCTTAATTACATTTCCGGGATCTCTTCTATTTATTCTCCAAAATTGGAATGATCCAGATCTCAGTCCTGGGGCTTCTATTTTTTTTATTCATATACTCCCTCTAGATCACTACGTCTAGTCCCAAGGAATTGGGACTCTTCCTGGTCTTCTCATCTCCTGGAATTCCAAACTGAAATATGCAACTGCCTACATGGTATTACCATGTGGTAATGCAATAGGTTTATTTACTTATCAAATAAATCATATTCTTCCTTCTGTCTTCCTTCACACCAGGTCTCATCTTTCTTCCCTCTTCCTGATGTCAGAAAATAGCTCATCATCCACCCATAAATATACACAAGAAATCCAGTTTTTTTCCTTAGTTCATATTTTATTCATTTAAATTTTGTTTAATTCACCTCCACAACTGGAGTGGAATCTCTTGTCCCTGTTTCCTCTGTTGTCAATTTCAGTTAAGCCACCATCTTTTATCTGAATATTGATATTTTTGCCTTAAATGTTCTCTCTGGTTCTCTTCTTGACAGTCTCTTTCCACTCACTCTTCTTGAAAACAGTCAGAGCAATTAAAAAAAAAAACATTTAAGACAAGTTATGTTACTGTAGTCTTCACAGTGGCTTTCTTGCATATTTTAAAAATAATCCAAATTCTTCATCTTAGCTAACAAAGCCACACACATATATACTAAGTCTCTCCTATCTTTTGTCACCTGTTACCAGTTACAAACTTTCTCTTTGATGTCTTGCTTCCTGCTTAAGTTCATAACCTAAGCTTTCATTTATTTTCAAGTGAAATATGAATGTATTTTCCCAATATTACTTCCCTCCTGAGAGGAACATAGTTACAGGCCATTTGGGCAATACATCGTTCTTTGACATATGTGTTGTCAAATAAGATCTGTAAACTCAATTCCTGTCAGAGGGCAGAAACTTGCTAGGGTCAGAGGAAGAGGAAGAAGTTCAAAATGGAAAACAGCAAGAGTCAGCAGATGCAATATGGAATATGCAATACCCTGCCTTTTCCAGGTGCAATTAATTAGGTTTGCTTACCTTTTTTTTTTGTATGAATGATAAGGACTAACTTCCTCGTCTCAGTAGTGCAAAAAATGTAGATCTCAGAATTAGTAGTATAATTAGTAGAAATAGTTTATCAGAATTAGGCCTTTCTGTGTGTCAGTCCAGCAAAATGTAGGAGGAAAGATTCTTAAGCTAGTTTTAAAATAAAACTAGGAAAAAGTCGAAGGTCAGGTTAGAAACATTGCCACTGAAGACTGAAGAATAGGGTCAGCTTCCTGGGTGTGTGACCTATGCAATCTCACATGGTCGTATACTGAGAAGGGACCTGTATTTGGTATAATGATCTGCCATCGTCATTTTAAAATTATTGAGACTTCTGTCTTGTTTTTAAGTGAAGCCTGGTGGGACAATGAAACATGCATCAAAGGACATGCAATTTCTACCTACAGAGGCAGCTGGTGAAGCAAAGGATGTGATGGTAAACCAGGAGACGTGCCAGGTGCAGGGCCCATGAGAGAACTGGCTGCCCATTGAACAGAGGGAGCATGGTCCTCAAGCAACCGCAAGACATCAGTAAGGGATTCACTATGTGGTGGCAAACGAAAACTTACTATACCACAGTAGGTTGATAGTCAAGTTTTGAAATCTCTTCGTAAGTCAATTATAAGTGTCGTCACCTGAAGGCTGGTATGGAAACATAGCATCAGAGTCTAAGTCCACTGAACCAGCTCCTCTCACAGGTGCTGAAGAGGTGAAGTTCACAACAGATTCTTTCAGACTTTGCTACTTAGGTATCATCTGGGAACCAATTAATAATGTAAAATTCTGGGCTTCACCCTTAACCTATTGAATCAGAATCTGCATTTTTACAAGACCCTTTGGTGGCTAGTTAGCACTTCAAATACTGAGTAGGACTATTGTAAAATGGTGGTTTTCAACCTCTTCTTGCATTGAAATCACTTGGGTGCTTTTAGAAACACAGATTACTGAGTCCCACATGCACAAATTCTAAGACAGTTTGGGCACTGGGATTTTTTCAAAGTCCCCTCAGAAAATTTTAATATACAGTCAAAGTTGAAAGTCATTGTAAGGGAAGTTGAATGTCATAGTCCAGTCTTCCTGGAGAGTAAGTACTCAATGCACCAAAAATGGTACGCCCTCATGATGCAACAGCTAGAAGCCAGCTTTGTCAACTTACATTCGCCTGACAGATTATAAAGTAAGATAAGGAGAACTGGCACAGATTCAACAGTGTCTACCTAGAGGACCCAGATTTTTTATTTAACCTTTTTGTATTTTGAATTTCATCCCTGAAACAGCCCTATGGCCTTTCTCAGTCTGGTTTTACTGAGCTCCCTGTCTTGGTTAAGATAATATTTGTCTATATGAGAGTGTTCCTCAACTTCTAATCTCAGAAATGGCAGCTGGGGTGTCAGATCCTTCTTTTCCAGAAGGTTATAATCTTCACTTGTTTTCCTATCCATCATATTCTTTTAGGGCAAGCCACTTAGACATCAAACTTCTTCTTATAGCTTTCTCTCAAGCAAATGGACTCCACAAGGCCTCCGTTTGCATAACTGAAGGAGACTTTTCAGGGCATCTTTTTCAGTAATGAGACCCACAGCACAGATATATTCCATGGTGATTTTCTCTTTCCGCTTAGATCTAATTTAAGCTGAATATTCATCCTCCCAAATGAGAGAAAAAATAAAAACCAAAATTGACCTCTGTAGAGCAACTTATGGTACCTTGTAATGGTGTTTCTTGACTTCTTCTGTTGATTTCTCATAAGTTCTAGTTTGTTTTTCTCTGAATTTTAGATTTTCTTGCCTCACAGAGCCTGTACAAATGACCTCCTTTATTTCCCTGGATGTCTTTTCTGGTGTCAGGTTCTGAGGTTTGTTCCAGACTGAATATTGAGTCTAAATAGTGGGACAGGCTGTTTTGTTTCTCTCTGGGCATCACGGTTCAAATGGGGACACTGTCAGAAAGCAATTGGATGGACTTTTTACATTCCCTAGAAAATGAAAGGACTTTCTTTGATGCCTAGGAAGTAATACCTCAAGCCCACAGTATCTTGTCTATGTTTGCAAGAACTCTTGTTTTCCTTTGGCCTATGAAGCATAATATTTGGTATTTCTGTTGACAAAAGAGGCTGATAGCTTTTTGCCTGTTTAAAAACACTCTGGATAATGTTAATGATTTGCATGACTTAGAGCCAGGTTCTAATGAATACAGCAGAAGGCTGGTTACTCTGCAGATTCACCACAGGAACAATTATGATTTCATATTTAAAAAGAACAGCCTTTATTTCCCTTGTAGGGGAGTGAAGATTTCTTTTCTTCACCCATCGCTAGGTTCTTGGCTAAGACACCTGTGACAAAAGATCGATTAACAAGAGAAAAGCATAACAAATGTATTTAGTGTAAGTTTTACATGACCCAAGAACCTTCAGAACTGAAGACCCCCAAAACAGGGAAAACTGTGTATTTTTATGCTAAGTTTGATGAAGAATTTGATAGTTGTGAAGAAGGATTATTAGAAGACAACAAAAGTGTCACCTAATGGTAATAAGCTGGTGGGAAGGTGGCATTTAGCAAGGCCTGTTAGTTTAGACTATTCTTTCTGTTCCATGTGTCTTCAGAGATTAGGGCATTCTTTTCTCTCATTATGTGGAAAGTACTTCTGGAATGAGGACCTTATGGTCCACTTCAGAGGAAAGCCAGTTAATTCTTTCATAGTCTACTTCAGAGGACAAGGGATGGAGAAGGTCAGAGAATGACCTTCCTGCTTCTGCTGTTTCTTCAAATGCCCACGTGTCATATTTTGGGGTAGCATGTCCTGAACTTCATTACCCTTTTCCATGATTCTATTGTGGAAGCTTGCCAGAGCACTTATTACATAAGATTTCCTAAGTAGCAGAATCACGGCAAGCATCTATATTGCCTGCACCATATTTCTTTATCCTAAGCCAATTTTTGTGCCTTATCATCTTGAATTTTACCCTCACTTGATGCATATATCTCCAACTTTTCCCTGAATCTTGGGCAATGAATCTTCGTGGCATACCTACAGGTTAGTAAAAGCATAAGAATAAATTGAGAGAGGAGAAGAGAAAAATTTTGCTTACCTATTATATTGAACTATATGAAATTACTAATATTTAAACATTTTGATATTCAAAATGACATTTATGTATAGCTGAGTCAAATAAACAAAGAAAGAAAATAGCATGCCTGGTTATTGTAAATAATCTTAATAGATTTTAGTTACTGAATTCAGAATGGTTGAAAGATTTTTTGTTAAATCAAACAGTAATATATAAGCCATTAGTTATTTACCTGCACGTCTTATTCACCTGGTTCTAAGATTGGCTCATAAACAATCTTTTAGCTACTCCACTTACCTATCCTATCATAATGTCCATTCTTGCATTAAAGTCACTGGTCCTGACCAACAAATCCCTTAAGATTACAGTGTCCTCAAATTTATTTAAATAGGGTAAAGGTCGGGGTATTATATCTGACTCTAGCTACTTTCTAAGGGGTGTAGATACCTGTAGGACTATTGTTCTTTCTGAGAATCTTGATGCATTTGGGAATGTAAATTGGATATTTGAGCTAGTGATAGCTAAATTACTATATATTCTCAAAGTGAAAAGAAAGATGGAGCTACTGTGTTTAGGCTATTCAGTCCAATACAAGATTTCTTTTAATTCTCACAACCCTTTTAACAATGTGATAAAACTAACAAAATGCAATTGGATTTATTTTGAAATCTAGAAAAGGAGCTAAAATTCCTGTTATAGTGACATGGCAGATGGAAGATGAAACTGTAGCAGCAGATTAAGCTCAATGTTATAAAGTCCCCAGAAACAAGCAGGTTGTCAGGAAGGCTTTATACAGACTATAAAAATTGGACTTTCCAGCCCATTTTAACTAGTTCTCCAAGGAGCAGGAACCTCTTAGCTGACACCTTGGTTATACAACCAATTAAGTAGCCTCAGGGACAGTGCCAAGATCAAAATGACAAGGAATGTTCAAGTGGTTTCAGCTCTAAGACACAGTCACAATACAGTCCACCAAATAGTATGCACAAAAATATCCTTCTATTTTTATTCTTGTTGTTCCAACGCTGAATGCTTTCACTAGCATATTGTGAAAATTAAACATTTAATGAAGTAACAGAAGACTGCTGTTACAGAAAGCTGCATAGATGCTACCAGTGTCAAAGGCCTTTTCTTCTAAGGTCTCTTGCATTAAGATTTTTTAAAAATGTCTTTTACTTTAAGGCAAATAATGGTTTAGACGCAGCCACTTTCAAATTCACTGAAAAAAGCAAGGCAGTTTTGAAATTCATTTCATAATAAATTTGTGTTTTATTCATTTATAATTAACAGGAGGAAAACAAATGGTTCAAGTATAGAATTTATCACCTACAGAAATTTAGATATGAGGTTCTACATAAAAATTAATTTATTTTTCAAAGCTCTTCAACCAAGCATTATAAAATGACTGCTGTTGATATAACTTAACATTAACTATTTCATTATTGCCAATATGCTCATTAATATTTTTAAATGTAGTCTTTTTAATTTGTGTATTTAAAATGTGAATATCTAGCCATCTATTTTATGGGATCTATCAGTTATGGTGCATAATAAATTGCAATGACAGACACCCAGAATTACAAGGGTTTAAATAACATAGAAGTTTACTTCTTCCTTTTAAAATAGCTTGGAGATGGATAGTACAGAGCATGGTGGGAAAATCTGTTCTATGAAGTTGTGAAATCCAGACCCTTTCCATCTTGTAGCTCTTTCATTTCCTAGGTTTGTGTCTTTATCCTTATTGAGTGCAGGGAGTTCATTAATCCATGGACAAAGAAGACATCACAGTGTGGATTTGAAGGAGCTAAACTGAAAGTTGCTTCCACGTTACTTTCTTTCATACCACATTGGCCTAACTTAGTCATAGTTGTCTTACATAGCTACAAGGGAGCTGGAAAATCCAGACCGTAGTTAGATAGCTGTGTGCTTAGCTAAAAGTCAGAATGATCTATTATATGGAAGGAGAGATGGCAAGTGAAAGAAAGCTAGTGGCTTTTACCATATTAATCATTCTTCCTTACTTTTTGGAAGTATAGGTATATTGTAACCGAATGCAAATCTAGCTGCTCATCACTGGGAGTCAAAACAGGAGGAGCAAGATACTGTGAAAAGAACGTAGTTTTATTAGTCAAAGGCTAGCAATTGGGAAATGGCCAGGCTCATGCCTTTAAAATACTTTTTTGGCCAGGCACGGTGGTTCACTCATGTAATCTCAGCACTTTGGGAGGCCAAGGCAGGAGGATCATG
Organism: Homo sapiens; assembly: GCF_000001405.40. NCBI lineage: Eukaryota > Metazoa > Chordata > Mammalia > Primates > Hominidae > Homo > Homo sapiens. Next base: position 55,114,185 of record NC_000010.11, on the reverse strand, counting down.
AGGTCAGGAGATCGAGACCATCCTGGCTAACACGGTGAAACCCCGTCTCTACCAAAAATACAAAAAGAAATTAGCCGGGCGTGGTGGCGGGTGCCTGTAGTCCCAGCTACTCAGGAGGCTGAGGCAGGAGAATGGTGTGAACCTGGGAGGCAGAGCTTGCAGTGAGCCGAGATCGTGCCACTGCACTCCAGCCTGGGCGACACAGAGAGTGAGATTCCATCTCAAAAAAATAAAAATAAAAATAAATAAAACAAAATACTTGTTCAAAGTTTGAGCTGAATGAGGGAGTTAAAAAGGGAAAACTTGGCATGACAGTATGTGGGAGAGGTGCAGGATAATACAAGATCTACATACCTCTCTCTGATGGCTATCTTGGGTTATTGTCCACCAGGACTGTGGGCTTGTGCTATCTCAAAAATGGCCTGGTTTTAGATTAACTGCCTTGTGGTAATCTCTAGATGGGGGAGGATTCTGCAGCTAGATCTTCATACCTGATGAATTTCAAGATTAGCCCCTGGAATTTCTAAGCATGCATATAATTAGATAAGTTAACACAGTATAAGGAGTCTCCAGTGGAAGTGGAGGAAAACAAAGAGTTTCAAAGTTTATTTCAAGGCTAAGGCTAGAGAAAAGAAAAAAATTGTAAAATGCATTTTGAAGCTAAGCTACTCAGTTACAATATCAGTTTGGGAATTTGATGACTACCTTCTTCCATGTATTTTAATTAGTTTGCATGAGAAAGGAGAATATAATTCTTCCTTTTTTTTTTTTAGCATGGAACTTGCATGTAAAAACCTAAGCTCTTAAAAATTAACATACATCACAAGCAAGAGGAGCCCAAGGAGATATGATAACTAAGTATAGTGTCTTGCATAAGATCTAGGAACAGGGAAAGGACATTAGGGAAAACACCAAGAAAATATGAATAAATTATGGACTTTAACAATAGTTATCTATAATAATTCCTTAATTGTAACAAGTGTTCCATACCACCTTAGTCAATTCAGGCTGCTGTAACAAAATACCAAAAATTGAGTGGCTTGGAAATGACAGATATTTATTTCTCACAGTTTTGGAGACTGGAAATTTGAGATAAGGGTGCCAGCATGGTTGGGTTCTGGTGATGTTACAGGATGATGCCATGCAGTTCCAAGTTCTTGGTGTCACGAACAAAGAAATGGATGAGACACACACAGATAACAAAGCAAGGCAGCAAAAGTTTTTTAAGCACAGTATTACGCCCTTGAAGAGGAAGAGTGGACTGACCTCTGTGAGATGAGACATGAGATCAGCATGAGTTTGGTATATTTTGGGTCTTTTTATGTGTTGTTTTCCTTCTCTTCCCAAGGCTGGCTAATTTCTAGCTACTATCTACCTTTTGATTGATAAGTGTGTTGCTTAGTTAATTTGGTCCCTGTGCACTTGCTTGTTGCCTCTATCCCATAATTTTAAGTAGGTGCCTGATATGCATTCCATATGCATGAGCTTTAACATGCTGATCGTCATATGGGATCATGTTAAGGCTACTTTTTCTCTTTAATGCACATGCCTGTTCCTGAAGAACTGCGCCTTACTGGTTTGGTCTGGATCCCACCAGCCATGGGGTCCTTACTCACTTCTCTGTGTTTTGACTGCTTAACTTCTGCCTCTTATCTTGCTTCTTGCTCACCTACACCTTTACCTTGTTTCTCTCTCTCCTTTTACTCATTCTGCCCTGTATTCAACTTTTAATTCCTTTTGCTTTCTTCCTGCCTCATTTTTCCTATTTTCCTGCTTCGCTTTCCCAATTCTCCTGTCTCAGTGAGGGCCCTCTTATGGGTACTAAGCAGACTGCCTTTATCTTCTCATCGAATCTTCACATGGTGGACAGAGGGCAAGAAAACTCTCTGGTTTTTGTTTTTCTTTTTAATAAAGGTACTAATGCAATTTATGAGGGCTCCACCCTTATGATCAATTTACCTCTCAAAAGCCCCACCCTCCTAACACCACATTTGCCTTAGGATTTCAACATGTGAATTTTGCATGGACACAGACATTCAGTTCATTTCATATACCAATGAAATATATCAATAGTAGGAAAACCAGGATGTGTAATAACACAGTAAATCTCAGTACTCTCATTGCATTATTCTGTAAATCTAAAAAAGTTCCTAAAAAGTTTATTACTAAAAAATAAATGTGTTACTGTGTATTTACTATCATTATCAATATACTATTATGTATTATTATTTGCATACCTTATTGAATGCAGCACGTAATCATAATGTGAAACACAGATAACAGTGAAACAGCAATTTGAAAAAGAACTTTTTTATTTTTTATTGTTTTTTTTGAGATGGAGTTTCACTCTTGTTGCCCAGGCCGTAGTGCAATGTAGTGCAATGGCATGATCTCGGCTCACTGCACCCTCTGCCTCCCAGGTTCAAGCAATTCTCCTGCCTCAGCCTCCCAAGTAGCTGGGATTACAGGCATGCACCACCACGCCTGGCTAATTTTGTATTTTTAGTAGAGATGGGGTTTCTTAATGTTGGTCAGGCTGGTCTTGAACTCCCCACCTCAGGTGATCTGCCTGCCTTGGCCTCCCAAACTGCTGGGATTACAGGCGTGAGCCACTGCACCCGTCAAAAAGAACTTTTTTAAATTTTTTTTTTTTAAATAGTATCTCTGGACTCCCAATTGAGTTAAGCATAAAATAGTAAAGGATTAAATTAAATGAACTTTTCAATTGAAGTACCAATTAATTATTAGCCTGAATTTCTTCTTAAAATAAGCTTGCCTTATTCACTCAGGCTGTAAATTCAGAAGACAAATTTATTTTGTTCATTTGTGCTAATTAAAAGAAATCTATCTTCATTTTAAAAAGTTGTATGGTCAATGTACACTTTCCCATTAGACTAGATGTAAATTATCTAATTGTTTTTGTTTTAAGAGGATTTATAGATTGCCTTAATAAATGATTAATTAATCTATACCACTTTTCTGTGAAAAGTCTTCAGACACATATTAATGAAGAAAAATATTACCAACCTACAGAGCTGTTTTCTTATTCTACTGCTTCATGTGAATTTCAAATGTTGCTCCTTATAAAGAAGAGGTTTTTATTTCATAGTCATTTCAGAAATAGACTATGTTTGACATTGACTTTGTTACTAAATTTAGGCAAAACAAAGTTTTAAACTCATTTATATTTACAGTCTAATTGCTATAAGAAAAGGAAACTCTGTTTTGTGAGATAGAGGATATAAACTGATATACTAGTTAAAAAATAAGAAGTAAATAAATATAAAATAAGTCAATGCCTGCAACAACATTGTCATAATTACAGAAACTGAATTTCTAACAATATTTTGTTTGTTTTTTCATACAGTTTATCCCTTTTCTAATTCTTTTGTTCTTGGTTCATGGGGCAATAAGGGAGTACATTTTCTCCAAATGAATGCCATCAGATCCTTGTTAAACTCTTTTTAGGTCAGAATTATATTTTAGTTAGGCTGTCTTTGCTTTTAAGGAACAGGAACCCTCTTGTTGGTTTTTTTTTTTCATTGTTATTTTGGTGGTTTTATTTTAATCGTATTTAAATGAGGGTTTATTAGTAGATACAATTACTCTAGAACTCTCAGAAGACTAACCTAACAACTGAAAGTTTGAATCCATGTAAATCTGATTGTTATGGAATTAGAACTGGTTGCAAGCAAAGTTTGAAGACCTTAGAATCAGGTTAAGTGAGACTTAATTCTGGTAAACATGCACTAATACAATGCGGCTTTTTAAACGACTACATTCTCACTAAGGCTAATCAGCTATTCTGTAACTATAGGTTCTTAATGAAAACATCTATTATTTATTAAATACTCCTGATGTACCAGACACTGTTCCAATATACATTGAATATCTTATTAAAACTTCACAAACCCCTGTTGTGATTTCTGTATCCTTAGAAAGTATAATGAACTTACCTGATATAACATGGAAGAGGGCAGAGCAAGGACACAAAACATATACAGCCCTTATTCCCTACATCTTATTGGCTCTTTAAGAAATTAAGTAATTTTTAGAAATGTCTTATAATATTACACAGGCATTTAAAATGTTATTTAGAATATTAATAAACTTTATGCTATAATATTAAAAATCAATAGTAACTACAATTAATACAACAAATAATATATATATACCTTTATGCATAGATTTCAATATGTGAAAGAATTATGTTAAATGTTTATACTGTTTATCTCTTAATAAGTTGACTTGCAAGTGCTTATTTTTCTTCTGCTTATTTGATTTTGGGGAAATTTCCACATTCTTTACATTATGTAATTTTGTTAATTTGGAAAAAGTCATAATAAATTTCGAGAATAAAGCTCAATCTGTTGCTTTCTGCCTTCTTTATTCCATATATGTATATTTGGAAACAATTATTTCCCCTAAATTTCTTTATTACTGAATGAATCAAAAATAGGAGTAACTTCAACATACTTGTACAATAAAATTAACATAGGAAGCAGAAGGAAAAGGCAGGCTTGGATTTATTAGACAATGAAAATAATTTTGAGATTTTTCACCGACCTTATAACCCCTCACTGTTTTGGATAGAGTGGAATTATTTTTATAGTAGAATGGAGGTAAAATGAGCAATTTTTCATTTGTTTCAGCAAAACATTTAATACTGATTTCCCTTTTCTCTGTAATCTCATGGCTGAAAACTTCTCTAGACATTTAAGCAATGGAGTTGCAAACTAATGTGGAATCTTTCTAATCATACTTATGATGCTTCATGTTAATTTAGAATTAGATTTTAGAATTAATTTAGGGTAATAAGTTTTATTGGATAAAGTTGTACCCTATTGAGAAATTAGAAATGCAAGGGATTAAGAAGCAAATGCTTAAAAATTTAAGAAATTTGCGAAGTTTAAACTACTTTGGCAAACTACACATTCTTCGATAAACTCCACGAAGTGGTTATGAATCTTAGTTCCTAAATACAAATATTCAGTGAATATTTTAATTAGCATAAATCTGAATGAAGCTTATGATTCTGAGCTCATGGAAAATTCATTCTCACTCACTGGGCATAAAGTTGGGTGAGTGTTCTGGAGTATTAGGTAGCACCAAAGCAACAGGTGCCCAGTCACTAATCATTAGTCTTTGCTTACTGGTTACTGATAAGTATACACTGTTGCCCTACCCATCTTAGTCTCTTAAGGCACAAGATTCTGTTGTTTCCATGAAGTACTTGAACGTGGGGATCATCATTTTGGTAGTGACTGCTGTCTATCCTCTAAAATCTGTTCTCTTTTCTTTCATAATAATGTAATTATACTTGGGCATGTCACAACATTTCCAGGCAGTACTTGATTGTATGTGTGACTGCGTGACTAAGTTCTTTTCAAGCAATTATGAAGGAAGTACTATTTCAGGCCTGAAACTATAGACTAGCCATGATTTCTCCCTACCTAAAATTTATTGTTTTTTTTTTTATTTGGAAACCTAGCCAATTAGGAATGCTTTACGTTTACTGGTATATTAATTTGAAACATATTAGAAATTAGTTACAGTTTATATTTTGATATCATAAAATAAATTATAACAGAAAAGTATATTTTAGAACAAATAAAAATCATACCTAATCACACACCATAATACTATTCACAGTATAGCTAATGTCCTTCTAGTCTGTGTTCCTATCAATACACATATTTTACATAGCTGCAACTTTGCATATTTAGTCATTTGTGTTCTGCTTTTTGTTGCATATTTTACAGTCTATTTTCTACTTCCTACACAAACATTATGAAAATGCTTAGAAAATGTAATAAATCCATAACCCGTAACTCTATTTAAATACTATTATTTGAATATAAATAATGCTATAATGAGCACATGCATACTTAGGGCCTTTCTGTATCTTGGATAATTTATTCAGAAGTTCTCTTAGTCCTTCCAGGTAGCTATAACAAACTACCATAGACTGGGCAGCCTAACCAACAAACATTGATTTCTCACAGTTCTGGATGTTGAGAAGCATAAGATCAGAGTATCAGCAATTTTGGTGTCTGATGAAGGCCTGATTCCTTGTTCAGAAATGGCTGGTTTCTCACTTTGTCCTCACCTGGTGTTTGGATTGAACACTGGGCTTTTCATCCCTTTATATGGGCACCAATTCTATCATGGGAGCTTCATCCTCATGACATTATTCAAACCCAATTGCCTTCCAAATGTCTCATCTCCAAACGCACCATCACATTAGGGCCTCAATATGTGAATCTGGCAGGGAAGTATAGTCAGTCTATAACAGAAGTATATTTAGTTTACTAAATAAGTTGAATAGCAAGAGTGTAAACAGAAAGCAAATTGATTCTTTTACATCATTATGAAAACAGTAACTGTAAGGCCGGATGTGGTGATTCACGCCTGTAATCCCGGCACTTTTGGAGGCTGAGGGGGGTGGGGGTGGATCATGAGGTCAGGAGTTCGAGACCAGCCTGGCCAACATGATGAAACCCCGTCTCTACTAAAGATACAAAAAATTAGCCAGGCATGGTGGTGCGCACCTGCAATACAAGCTACTTGGGAGTTTGAAGCAGTAGAATCGCTTGAACCCAGGAGGCAGAGGTTGCAGTGAGCCAAGATCGTGCCATTGCACTCCAGCCTGGGCAACAGGGCGAGGCTCCATCTCAAAAAAAAAAAAAAAAAAAAAAAAAGGAAAGAGAATACAGTAATTGTATTTTATCTATTTCTATGAATATTTGTGGTAAAAATTCATAGGCCATCTGGTATTGCTTAAATGTTGTAAAAATTTTCATGTATGACCTAATAAAAGTGTCTTGATAAGCCTGTTGTTAACATTTCCATATCTCATCCAACTTATGGCCATTGATGCCATGTAATCAACCAGCAGCAGACTGCAGCTTGAAATGTATGTCATTGGAGGAAACAACACTGGTAATTAGGTCTGGGTTTAATTAACAACTAAGGTAATCTCCAGACCTTTAAGTGTATACCAATAGAAAGTATACTGCTAATGGGCTGCAGCCTCTGAAAGAGAATTCTTCTGGATGCACTCATATATTTCAAGAGGTGGACTTTAAATATATCTAACAAGAGAGCAAACCTAAATCAATCAAACTGACTTAAAATCCATTGCAAAGGCAAAGATCTTGCTTTCTATGTTGAAAAGAAATTAGTCTTTCATAAATTATGGACTAAAGATTACTCCATTTGCTTTATTCTTCTGCCCTTCACCAAAGGTACTAGAATTTTCTGTTTCCTCTCCATCATTGTATTATGGGATTTCTTGGGAGGAGTTAAGTTGAGGAGTTAACCATGGTGAGCTATATCCATAGCTGACCTAGGGAATTCACAAATAAATCCTGGATTGGAAATAGATTTAATAATAGGATAAGAATCTAGGATGTTCCCCTTTTTTTGTTGGGAGAATTAGTATTTCCATTTTGGACCATTTTATTATAGTTGAGAAGATTTGCTCATGCCTGTAATATCCCAGCACTTTGGGAGGCCGAGGTGGGTGGATCACCTGAGGTCAGGAGTTCGAGACCAGCCTGGCCAACATGGTGAAACCCCGTCTCTATTAGAAGTATAAAAATTAGCTGGATGTGGTGGCGAGTGCCTGTAATCCCAGCTACTCAGGAGGCTGAGGCAGGAGAATAGCTTGAACCCAGGAGGCTGAAGTTGCAGTGAGCTGAGATCGTGCGCCACTGCACTCCAGCCTGGGCGACAAGAGCGAGACTCCTTCTCAAAAATAGTAATAATAATTGTTATTATATGCAATGTATATTTATGTTTGTTTCATATCTTCTTATTCTATAGTTTATGTCAAAAACATTTCCCTTTTGTTTGATTTTGTCTAACAACAGAAACCCTTACTGTGCTTTGGTCTTCATATGTAGTCATATTAACCAGGAATAGTTCTGATTTATAGTATTTTCCAATATCCATGTGTATACTCCAACCATGGCTAATTTCAAGTTACAAAGAGTTTAACCAGCCTGATAAATTCCTGAAAATATTTCAATCCTATCTTGTAAACCAGCTGTAGCATGTCACTGGATTTACAAACTTTATTGTGCCTTGTTTCTATTGAAATAGTCAACACACTGATTAAAACAGAAAAGTTGTAACAACCAAAAAAAAAAAAACTTATAATACAGATGAATAATATCCTAGCTTCCAGGAGTATTGTCATTGAAAATGGAATCCTGCACCTAAAAGAGAGCTAGTCAGGATAAAATGATTTGGATTACTCATTCCATGTAGTCATTGAAGGCTCATAGGATTTCCTCTTTTTATGTGCATCTCAGAATATCCATTTAAGAAAAAATCACTTTTTTATGGATTGATTTTTTTTCAAGAAGAAAATGTCTAACTACCATACATTATCCAATATTAAATGTATTGTTACACATGCAGGTAAACACACAACAGAAGAGCACTCTTCTGTTTAGGAGAGCCTTAGTAAATAAAGCAATGGACATTTTGTTATGAGCTTTAAACAATAAACATACCTGCTGCTTATGACTTAAGTTTTCCAAAACAGCCAGATGAATAGAGGAGAATTCATCTACCCTGCATATGGAAAACCACAGGATGAATAGGATCCTCCTCCTGTAATATTAAATAAACGTAAAATATCGGGCTTAAAAAAGTTCCTGTGACAAAAGCAAATGTGGGCATTTACTCATGATACAAAGCATCTTAAGTTGTATTAGTATTTGCCATAGTAAATAAATGCATGGTTTGTGATTTTTAAAACCCTAGAAATACAGTATAGTTGATCTTTGAATAACATGGATTTGAAATATGCAGGCCCAATAATATGTGATTTTTTTCCAATAAATGTATTTAGAAAACTTTTTGGAGATTTACAACAATTTGTAAAAAGATGAATCACATATATGAGAAATATTTTAAAAAATAAGAAAAAAATTGGCATGTCATGAATGCATAAAATGTACGTAGATACTATTTTATCATGTGCTACTACAAATTAAGCACAAATCTATTATAAAAAGTTACAATTTATCAAAACTTATGCAAACACTTACAGACCATACCTGACACCATTCTCAGCAGAGAGAAATGTAAACAAACATAAAAATGCAGCATTAAGTCATAACTGCACAAAATTAACTGCAGTACATACTATAGTACTGTAATAATTTTGTGGCCACCTCCTGTTGCTATTGGGATGAGCTCAAGTGCTGTGCGTATCTGCTTAAAACACCCCATGAGGCTAATCATCTCTGCATGAGCAGTTCATCTCTCCAGTAAACTGGATATCACAGTAAAATGTGATCTCCTGAAGTTCTTGCATATTGTTCATCATGTTTAGTGCAGTATCATAAACCTTAAATAACACCATGGGACCCATACAAAGTGCTACTAGTGATGCCGGATTTTTTCCTTGAAACAAAAAAGAAGTCATGAAATTATAAGAAAAAATTGAATAGCTTGATAGTACTGTAAATTGAGGTACAGTAGTACCTACTTCAATTGCCCACAATTTCAAGATAAATGAATCCAGCATTTTAGGACCATTTTTAAAAAGTAAAGAAGTCATCACTGCAGCTACACCAAAAGACACAGAACCTTGTACTTTTTGTGAAATAACCTTCTTTTTTCTTGTAATGAAAATGCATCTTTTATGTGGATGCAGGATTGCTGTAAGAAAAGCATACCCATGGACTCAAATTTGATTTTTAAAAAAGCAAACTCATTATGTGACAACTTAAAGCAAAAGGAAGGTGAAAAATCTAAAGCTTGAGAAAGTAATGCTGGCAAAGTGTGCTTTCATAATTTTAGAAAGGTGTTTGGCTTAAAGAAATGTCAAGATAACAGGAGGAGCAGCTTCTGCCGATCAAGACGCAGCAGACAAGTTCCCAGACATCATTAAGAAAATCACTGAGAAAAAAAGATATTTGTATGAATGGGTTTTTAATGCATAAGAAAGTGCCCTATTCTGAAAAAAAAAATGCTACAAAGGATATTTATTACTAGAGAAGAAAAGTGAACATCAGAATTTCGGGCAGAAAGTTATAGGCTAATTCTACTGTTTTATGCAAACGAAATTGTTTTGTTTATTTTGTGTGTGTGTGTGTATGTATGTATATGTGTGGGTATTTAAATCAAGACTGCCCTTATCTATAAACCTGCTAACCTCAAGTTTTTAAGACTAAAGATCAATACTAGCTGCTAGTCTTTTGCTTGTAAAACAAGAAAACCTAAATAACAGGAACCTGATTGGTCCCATTGATTCTTTGTCCTTGAAGTCAGGAAAGTACCTTGTCAGTAAGCAACTGTCTTTTAAAGTTCTTTTGATATTGGACAATACCCCTGGCCACCCAGAACCCCATGAGTTAAAACCCAAAAGACATTCAAGTGGTCTACTTGTCCCTAAACACAATATCTCTAATTCAGCCTCTAGATTAGGGAGTCATAAGGACCTGTAAATTTCATTACACATGGCACTATATGGAAAGAACTGACAGCACTATGGAAGACTATCCCATTAAAGAGAATATCATGAAAATCAGGAAGGATTACACCATTGAAGATGCCATCATTGCTATAGAAATAGCTGCAAAAGCCATGAGGCCCAATACAAATTTCTGCTGGAGAAAACTGTCCAGATGTTATACATGACTTCACAGGATTTACAACAAAACCAATCAAGAAAATCATGAAAGAGATTGTGGATATAACAAAAAACATCATGGGTGAGGCATTGAGGCAAAGGGTTTCAAAATATGGATCTTGGAGAAATTCAAGAGCTAACAGATACCCCAACAGAGGAACTAACAGAAGACCACTTGATGCAGATGAGTGCTTCTGAACCAGCACCAGATGAGGAGGAAGAAAACATAGAAGAAATAATGCTAGAAAATAAATTGATATTAGACAATGGCAGAAGTGTTCCAATTATTCAACACTGCTTTTGACTCCTTTTATGACATGGATGTTACCATGATATCACTGGCGCTGAAACAAATGGTAGAAGGAGGATTCATATGATACAGAAACATTTTTAGAGAAATGGAAAAGCAAAAAAAAAAAAAAAGAAAAATCAGAGAGAAATTACCATATATTTCTATGAAGTTACACTGAGTGTGGCTGCCTCGCCTGCCCCTCTTCCACATCCTCCACCTCTTCTGCCTCTGCCACACCTGAGACAGCAAGAACAACACCTCCTCTTCCTCCTCCTCAGCAGACTCAACATGAAGATAAGATAGATGAAGACCTTTATAATGATCTAGTTTCACTTAATTAATAGTAAATACATTTCTTCTTTCTTATTTTCTTAACATTTTTTTCTCTAGTTTTTAAAATAAGACTACATTATATAACATATATAACACAAAAATATGTGTTATTCAAATGTTTATGTTACACATAAGGCCTCTGGTCAGTAATAAGCTATTAATAGTTATATTTTGGGGGAGCCAAAAGTTATACATAGATTTTCAACTCTGCAGGGATCAGTGCCTTAACCCCTGCATTGCTCAAGTGTCAACTGTAATTTCTCCCTTATCCTTGCTTTCACTTATCTGCAGTCAATTACAGTCGCCAAATAGGAGAGTACAGTACAGTATACAAGATATTTTGAGAAAGAGAGAGGGGTCATTTATATAACATTTGTTATAGTCTTTTTATAATTGTTCTATTTTAGTATTAGTTATTGCTGTTATTCCATCACTCTGCCTAATTTATAAATTAAATTTTATCATAAGTATGTATTAAAAAAACAGAGTATATATAGGGCTCAGTACTATCCATAATTTCAGGCATCTACTGAGAGTCTTAGAATATATCCCTTGTGGATAACAGGAGACCTCTCTAATGGGCTCTCTGAAAGAAGTCAATAAAACTAAAATGTAAAGTCAACAGCTAAGATACTCAGAGTAGAAACAGAGAAAATATAAAGTTCATATCCAAGAACTTGAAAAGAGAAAACCTCAAATTCAGAGTAAAGGGAAAAAACATACTGAAAACAAAGGTTAATTATACAAGCTATTAACATAAAAAACAGAAAAATATATGAGTTTAAGTATGCTTTTAAATGATGTATAGTTTTTAAAAAGCAATGTACAATAAAGATGAGCATCATAGTCCTAAAACATACTCAAAAATATAAGGAAGTTGAAAATAAAATTAAAAGAATAGAAAAGCAACTAACAAACTTTTCATCGCAGTGGATTTAATACATGAAAATAGATATATAACATTTTATAAAACATTATATCCTAAAAATGTAATTATTTTTTCATATTGATATCTAACAATATAATTATATAAATAGTTGTAAGAAAAATATAGATCTACTTCAAAGATGATGAAAATGCACTTAGTTTTTAAAATTGTTCTTTCTGGTAGTCAGTGGAAGAAACTGAAAATTAAGGGAAATATATATATGCAAAATATATTTATTATATATGTTTCTATATATAATTCATCTATACTATTGTATCACATTGTATTTTTAAATGATCTAAACTCTGATAATCATACTTTACAAACTAGATCTAAAATTTAATTTCCAGTATTTAAAAAATTTATATGCCAGTAAAGGTTAAGCCTACCTAGGTGACGAAAATTTCCTACTACAACAAATTTAAGTAGTCGAAAATACACTTATTCCCACATCCAGAATGTACATTAGATTTTGTAGCCCAGACTGAGAATTTGCTGGAGGCTGTTGTCTATTTTGCATGGCTGTGGAGGAACAATATTTATTAGATAAGAGGAGTGGCCATAAAAAAAAAAAAGTTTTTTTTTTTTATTTTGAGATGGAATCTTGCTCTGTCACCCAGGCTGGAGTGCAGTGGCACAATCTCAGCTCACTGATCACTGTAAACTCCACCTCCTGAGTTCAAGCGATTCTGCCACTTCAGCCTCCGGTGTAGTAGCTGGGATTACAGGTACGTGCCACCCTGCACAGCTATTTTTTCTATTTTTAGTAGAGACAGGGTTTTGAGATGTTGGCCAGGCTGATCTCAAACTCCTGACCTCAGGTGATCCGCTCGCCTCTGCCTCCCAAAGTGCTGGGATTATAGGCATTAGTCACCATGCCAAGCCCATAAAAATATTTTAATCCCATTATATGAGCCATAAAAATTAAGGAACTGAATAACATATAAGTGATGATTAGCAAAAAAAGTAAACAATTGGACTGAAGAGACTTTAATTCTTAGGAAAAGTATACACAATACACCATAGATGAGGAAGATAATTTCTATTTTAGGAATTGCAGTGAATTACTCTTTCTTTGTCCTACTTCCCTTATTCCAGATCTTGATTTCCTACTACCTTTACAGAAGGGAGAACTTTAATGCTAAGGTTTAGATATTTTCCCCTCCAAAACTCATGTCAAAATTTGATCCTCACTGTTGGAGGTGGGGCTTAACAACAGGTGTTTGGGTCATGGAGGTTGACCCCTCATGAATAGATTTATGCCTTCTCTGTAAGGCAGTAGTGGGGATGCATGATTTCTCACTTTATTAGTTCGCATGAGAGCTGGCTGTTAAAAAGAGCCTAACACCTCTCCCTCTCTTGCTTCCTCTCTTGTCATGTGATCTCTGCACACAGTAGCTCCCCTTCCCCTTCCAACATGAGTGGAAGCAGCCTGAAGCTCAGCATATGCAGATGCTGGTGCCATGTGTTTTGTACAGTCTGCACAACCATAAACTAATACACTTTTTTACTTTACAAATTGCCCAGGTTCAAGTATTTCTTTATAGCAGCACACAGCAGAGAAGACACTGTGGATTCAAGAGTACGGTGCTAACTAAATAAAAAATATCGGTAGGAATAATTTATTTGAATAAACTTATTGCTTAATGTTTAAATGTTCCTAAAATATGTATTGAACATCTAAAGAAAGCTTTCAATTTAATTATATTAAATTTTTTGAAAGCTAAAGAAATGTAGTTTAGGGACTCTAAAACACATGATTAGGAAGTGGCCTAAATACTTTTGCATAAAACTTTCTGATCTGAAAATACAAGAATAAAATCACATAATTCTTGCTAAGATAGTAGCAGTTCATGAGACACAGTGATTATTTATCATTGTATTTTCTGTATAAATGCTCTTGGTAAGTATTCACTAGGCACATAGTAAGTTAATTTTTAGGAAATTGTATTGAATGTGTTCTTTACCTCTTGTAAGACATTATGATAGGTAACACTGCTTAGGAGTTTGTAAATTGAGGATTATACTTTTTTTTGAAATATAGAATATTTGAAGAAAATGATTCATTATCTCTTCTGTTTGTTTTATATGTCACTTAGAATTTACCCCTAAATGGATTTGTGTATATCCACTGCTATGAGTAATGAAGAAAGCTGATAATAAGAAAGTTAAAAATAATAGTCATCTGTCTTTTTTTTGGCAGTCAAGTTTGCTTTTCTTCTTCTTCTCTTGCTTGTTACTTCACTTTATTGGCTGAAAAGCAACTTTTTTCATGAACAGAAAATTTCACAATAATCAAACAACTCTTATGGATATTACTGACATGGTTCTGTTATCCAGAATTAATCTTACCAAGGAATATGAATAGAAAATGTTCTAATTTTTACCTGCTGTAATGTGGAATGAAGATAATTCCAATATATCCTTCAAAAGTTGATGCTTATTGTGATTGGAACATATTTTATCAGATGATTACTACACTGCAATAATTCACCAAGGATGAGACATATTATATAATTATAATTCTTTATTGTTTTCCTGTGACATTTCTCATTTAGTTCAGATTTTTTTCTTTTAGTAATTGTATTTTAGTAGTAGCAGCTTATGATAGTCAAGTCCAGTTTCTCCAATCAGCATTGACTTTGCATCTTCTCAAATTTCTATATCTTTACATTATATATATTTTTCTACTTATGTGTGTTTGGACAATAATGAATATGAAATTTGAAGAAGCTGTAAGTAGACTGAATTAACAATAAAGAGTGGCTATGTGTAGCACATTTTCTACATAGGGAAAACCAACATAAAGGAGAACCCCTAGAGGCCAGAACTTTAAGATCAGCGTGAGCAACATCTCTTCAAAAAAATGAAATAGAGTAAAAATTTTTAAAAAGAATACAGACACTAAAACTGAATCAGCATCACTGTCTGGGGTAAACACCTGAGGTTCATCATCTTGCGCCAAATAGATTAAGGACACGCAACACACAAGAGAGTGAGTTTAGGAGCAGAGGTTTAATAGGCAAAAGAAAGAGAAAGGATAAGAGCTCTCTCTCTCTCTCTCTCTCTCTCTCTCTCTCTCTCTCATTGAAGTTTTAATGAAAGAACACATGGAACTCAAAAGTGTTATCTGTATTCTCTGTTTCAAAGAGAGAGAGAGAAAGAGAGAGAGACGCTTCCGAAAGTGAAAAACCAGCCCACCGCAAATTATACCAGATTTTGTAGCCAGACTTGAGGAGGCGGTGTCTGATTTACATAGAGCCCGCAAATTGGTTCCACCAGGTGTGACGTTTACATAGCATGCGGGGAAGGCTGGTCACCCCACCCTAATCTTATGCAAATGGGGTCATTGTCTGGCTGGCTCCATATTGTCTTCTCCTTACTGAAAGCGTGGCTTGGCAAATAGAGGGAAGATGGAGCCACCATTTTGAACATGTCTAGTCTGAGGTAGCCTTTTCCTATTGGCACAACTGCTGACATTCACCCACGAAAGCTTCCAGCTTGCTTGTCTATGTGTGCAGCTGGATTTCACAGGCTACTCTTTTTTAGAAGAGAAAATTATTTGGGGGCTGCTTTTCATTAAAAGGAAAACCTTACCAAGGACTTCCTTACCTTCACTATTTACCTAAATAATTTCTTTTTAACTCCTATACCAAAACCAGACTTCTTGAGGTTGATTCTGGTTCTTCCATTTAATAACATATGGCCCTCCACTACTTCAGAGTTAAGTTACTTCAACTTTCTGTGTCTTAATTTCCTCGTCTGGAAATGAGATTGATAATACAGTATTCCTTAGAAGGTTTTTGTGAGATTTAAATTAGTTATGTAGTGCACTGTAAATTCTATATATGACTTTGTTAAATAATATGCAGAAATGATATCAGTATAATCAATGTATAAAAATCATGCAATGTTTTTTCACCTCCAGTTCTTCCTTTTTGTAAAATTATTTGTCATGCATGACTAGGCAATGCCTCTTTTCTTTTTTGGAAACTTCATTTTCTTCTTTCATTATCTTGTCTGCTTCTAAGGGTAGTGTTGAGTGCTGAAATCATATTTAGGATGCTGTAAATACACTTGTTACCAAGAACTCAATTTTTCTGTAAATAAAAAATGATGAAAGTCAGTCTTTAAAGTACAGAGTGTTTCCCTCTCAACTACAATGAGTTCAACAACTGCTATTTTCTACTTAGGATAATTTTCTGAGGAAAAATTACAGGTGTGACTCTTCAGGATTCTGTTTTATCTATCTATCCATCTATCTATCTATCTGTCTCTCTATCTATCTATCTATCTGGTGACTTCTTACCTCTTCCAGAAAACCTTAATTGTGCTTAGTTGTGAATCTTAAGTGTGCTCTGGGTTTTACAATACAGAAATACAACTGTCTGTAAGTGCACTGTAGGAATGTGTCTTCTGTTAGTTTTCTATCCTTTAATTTATAGAATTGTATATTTTGTCAATACAAAACCCCCACTGGAGAGGACTGACCACTCAGAAGTTGGGACATCTCTTGTTCTTAGCGTGAGCTTGAGTTTACAGTTTAATGGTTCAATGTTATTGAATATGTCAGAAGGCTAAAGACCCACTTTCACTTCCTAGCTCCCCCAAATCCCAGCTATGTACCTTCAGGCAGGTTACTTTACTTCTTAAGCTTTAATTTATCATCAGGCATGATTAGAAAACACCCACCTTATAATGTTGTTATTTGAATTAAGTTGCATGTAATGTTTTGCACCGTGACAGGATATAGCAAAAACAAAACAAGAATAATTAAATCTATTAGTTTATAATTAAAATACATGTGATTTATACTTGGTTAGTAAGTGCTTTGCTTAGTAGAGTACTGGACACATAATAAATCCTTACAAAACACTAGTTGACAACTTTTTTATTTGGTAAAGAGGCATAACAGTATAGTTTTCTTATTCCTTGTATCAGATCACCCAATAGCTTAGGTATTAGGGAAACTGTAATGAGATGTGTGCATTTTCTTGTGACAGGTATTAGCAATTATACCTTCCAATATTCAGTTGGGATATGTGAGCTGTCAGTTGAAATATTTGTTTTATTTTCATGTGTAAATTTAACTGATACTGGAAGTTTGCTAGTTCTACAATCTATATTGTTTTTTAAAAGTTTTAGAAAAATCAAGGATCCAAATGAATAAATTTTTACTTATATAAAAAGTTGTATTAATTGGAGGACGTTATGCTACATGAAATAAGTCAGACACAGAAAGACAAATACTGCATTATCTCATTTATATGTGAAATCTAAAAAAGTCAAACTCATTGAAATAGAGAATAGAATGAGAGTTACCAGGGAAGGGTGGTAGGGGAAATCGGGAGATGTTGATCAAAGGACATATGCTTGCAGTTATAAGAGAAACAATTTCTGGAGACCTAATATGCAGCAGGATGACAGCAGTTAATAACAATGTATTGTACACTTGAAATTTGCTAAAAGTAGATCTTAAGTATTGTTACAACACGCACACAAAAGCTAACTATATTAGGTGACAAATATGTTAATTAGCTTGATCGTGGTAATCATTTCACTATATATATGTGTATCAAAACATCATGTTGTACAGTCTGAAAAATCATGGTTGAAAATTATACTGATTGAGTGTAACAAGCATAAAGCCAGATGTCAGACCTAAACCCATGAATGGAATTTGGAGAGACCAATTGAGTTAATGTCTAAGAAAATACATTTTAACTATCACAGATGTTGGAAAACAGCTGATTTTCCCCATGGGATGGTGGTTTCCTGTCATCAGAATTATTCAGGCAAAATGGAAATTATAGAATTTTTTTTCATGTTTTGATGTGCATTGAACATAGTTGACTTGTAAAATCAGACCCAAGGATTGTATTTGTTTTTGTTTTTGTTTCCAATCAAATAATCACATGGCTTTAGAACTGGGGAGATTGCTAAATATATCAAGGCCCAACACACATTGATTTTCAGATAGGGTCATTATGATTCAGTTATTTCAATGGATTTGTACATGATCCTATTATCTAGCTAAAGAAAATCAGAATAGGACCCACAGCTCCTGATTTTTCAATTAATCACTTAAAAATCTATAACTACTTTTGCGAGTATAAAAATATAGGTACCATGAATCCTTCAAGGTATTTACAATTTGAAGATTTGATATTATATGACTTCCTGTGATATTAATTTCAATGACATATGATAAATAAAGCACAATTTTTTACCTGTTATCACTGTTAAAGTAAAACCAAATGTCAAAAATGTTATTGGGAAGCTTCAGGTCATGTTTTCAGCACTTGGCCTAGAAAGCTATTTTAATCTTTTGCAAATTCATAATAATTAAATAATCTTAAAAACTGGGAAATTGTAAAATAGTTAACAATTCTTCCAAAACCTCTACAATATCTAAACTTGCAACAGCTGGGTTTATTTTGAGGTAGAAAGAAAAGAAGGACAAGAGCGTGGAAGATTTTAGTTGTATTTGAGAATATGAGAGAAAATGAGAGAAAATCCAAGTAACAACCCAAATACAAATTTGTATAACTTATTTCAAAATTAAATATAAAATACCACTAAATTGAGAGAAAATGATTTGGATATTGAAACTTTTCCTCAAAATTAATATATTTAACACTTTAATTTTATTTTTTAATATATTTAAGATAAGTATGTTTAAATAAATTATTAAGGTGACATCATAATATAGTGGAAGATTTGAATAATTTGGCCACAGTGGCCAGATGTGGTAGCTCACACCTGTAATCCCAACACTTTGGAAGGCTGAGGTGGGAGGATCACTTAAGCTCAGGAGTTTGAGAGCAGCCTGAGCAATATAAGGAGACCACGTCTCTACAAAAAATAATTATAAAAGTAACAACAACAACAAAATTAGCCAGGCGTGGTGGCATACACTTGTGGTCCCGCTACTTGGAAGACTGAGGTTGAAGGATCCCTTGAGCCAGGGTGGTTGAGGCTGCAGTGAGCAGTGACTACTCCACTACACTCTTGCCTGGGTGACACAGTGAGATAAAAAAAAAAAAAAAAAAGAATTTGGATATAGAGTTTGTTTTTTGGTGTGTTTTCATCATGTCATTTTGGGTATATTAACTTATCAGATATTTGGTTTTCTCATCTGTAAATATAAGAAATAATTCCCAATTACTGGGTTGCTTTAAGGACTGAATGAAATTATTTGTAAGCACTGATCACAGTGCTGGTTGTAGAGACTGAGAAGGAGAAGGGAAAATTAATCTCTATTCCTTCATTAGGTTTGAAATATGAAATAAAACTATGAATGCTAAAAACATTGACGTATGATACAGTTTGGCAACATATGTATAAGCCTTCATCTTAAAACATTATTGTAAATTGTAATAAAAAACTTACTTATTTCCAGGTTGCCAATACTACCTAATTTTTTTTAATTTATTTTTTATTATACTTTAAGTTCTAGGGTACATGTGCATAACATGCAGGTTTGTTACATATATGTACATGTGCCATGTTGGTGTGCTGCACCCATTAACTCATCATTTACATTAGGTATTCCTCCTAAATGCTATCCCTCCCCCATCCCCCTACCCCACAACAGGCCCCTGTGTGTGATGTTCCCCACCCTGTGTCCAAGTGTTCTCAGTGTTCAATTCCCACCTATGAGTGAGAACATGCGGTGTTTGGTTTTCTGTCCTTGCGATAGTTTGCTCAGAATGATGGTTTCCAGCTTCATCCATGTCCCTACAAGGGACATGAACTCATCCTTTTTATGGCTGCATAGTATTCCATGGTGTATATGTGCCACATGTTCTTAATCCAGTCTATCATTGTTGGACATTTTGGTTGGTTCCAAGTCTTTGCTATTGTGAATAGTGCCACAATAAACATACATGTGCATGTGTCTTTATAGTAGCATGATTTATAATCTTTTGGGTATATACCCAGCAATGGGTTCCCTGGGTCAAATGGTATTTCTAGTTCTAGATCCTTGAGGAATCTCCACACTGTCTTCCACAATGGCTGAACTAGTTTACACTCCCACCAACAGTGTAAAAGTGTTCCTATTTCTCCACATCCTCTCCAGCACCTGTTGTTTCCTGACTTTTTAATGATCACCATTCTAACTGGTGTGAGATGGTATCTCATTGTGGTTTTGATTTGCATTTCTCTGATGGCCAGTGATGATGAGCATTTTTTCATGTGTCTGTTGGCTGCTTAAATGTCTTCTTTTGAGAACTGTCTATTCATATCCTTTGCCCACTTTTTGATGGGGTTGTTTGATTTTTTCTTGTAAATTTGTTGAAACTGGATCCCTTCTTTACACCTTATACAAAAATTAATTCAAGATGGATTAAAGACTTAAATGTTAGACCTAAAACCATAAAAACACTAGAAGAAAACCTAGCAAAACCATTCAGGACATAGGCATGGGCAAGGACTTCATGACTAAAACACCAAAAGCAATGGCAACAAAAGCCGAAATTGACAAATGGGATCTAATTCAACTAAAGAGCTTCTGCACATTAAAAGAAATTACCATCAGAGTGAACAGGCAAACTACAGAAAATCTACCCATCTGACAAAGGGCTAATATCCAGAATGCTACCTAATTTTTAAAGACTTTTTCCGGCATCTTGAAAAAAACCACCATTATTTGACATAGGTAAAACTGAAAAAACAAACTATTCATAATTACAATTTGTGACACATTATGTAGTAGCTAGGTTCATCACATAAATTACATGATACCCCAGTTCAAGTTAAATTTCAGATAAATAAATATTGATGGATATTTTTATTTAAATTGACAGCCCAAACTATAATGGATACCATATAATACCTCATATGTATTTTCAGTCTGTAGAGTATTTCATATTTTTTACATTTTCTGTGAAATCTAAAATAAATTTTGATTCAGTGGTATTTTATCTGGTACCACAGTTCATCTTCATTGTGCTATATATCTGTAAGATTTAATTTATTAATAGCATCTCACATTCAAAGAATGCTTTGTTTTTGTTTTAGTTTTAGTTTTATATTAATCCATGTTCAGATATATGTATTAAAAATGAGTAACATCTGCATTAGATATGAGAATGTTTTTAACAGTTTCTTACTTGTGATGTGTGTGTGTCTTTTGTTGTTTTAATATGTGAGTCTAGATTATGTATTTTGTTAATTGATCAACTTATTTATATTACATAAACTTACTTTCAAAATTGAAATACAATATGAGACAAAGAGAATAGAAACAAACAGAGCAATAAGCATGTTTTCTAAAACAGTTCTTGGTGTAAGTTTTTATTGGTGCATTCTAGTCTGTTTGTCATTAATTTGTTTTCTTCTCAAGTCAATTAAGACCATATTGAGCCATTTTGTTTTATGGTGAAAAAGGCAGTTTATTCAAATGTGATAGGACTCTTTTTAACTACCTTCTAAATATTAATATTAACAATATTAATTAAAGTGCCTTTCTAAATATGACATATATTTCATGCACCCTTGGTTTAGAATTCATAATTTTTTTCTAAATACCTTTGGCATTATGGGAATTCTTTAAAGAATAGCATGTTTTCTTCAAGTTTTCATGAAAGATAAGTGAAGTCTCACAAGCTGCTCTTAAAAAGAAAAAATAGGTAATCTACAGAGTTCATATAGAACCTGAGGAGACATAGCTTTACCATCTCTGGTTGGAAGCTGTGTTGCTTTTGGTTGTTTCAAGTGCTGCTATTATTTGTAAAGGGTGAGTTTATATAGAGGGAAGGTTATCTGATTTTGATATTTTCCATCTCCATTATTTCTTTTGAAGTTAATATTAGCACAAGGAAAATTAAGACAATTATTCTACACTGGCAATACATAAAAATTTTAGTACCTGAGCTTTTCCAGAGATAATTTACAATGGAACATTTTCTTTATACTCTTATGAGCCATATTAGAATAGATTTCTGTGAAAAATGGAATGAGGGAGAATGCCATAAAGTTATTTTCATATTTTAATATCAAATTATAACATAGCAAACCAAAATCTTGGTTTTACCCACAGTTTCTGGCATGCACTCACACCGACCCCTAGTGGTAAGATAAATAGTACACTATACATTTCTCAGCTAATAAATGTTTTTTGTTTGTTTGTTTTTTGGTAAGGATTTGTATCAAAATTACAGGAGTCCTTACCAAGTTAGGTAATAAATGAGAGTAAAACAAGAATTTTAAGAATTACATTTTGTGTTGGCTGGTATCCCTAGGAAATGTGTAGTAAAAATAATTGACAAAAATCCTGAATGAGTAGATATGCCTGCATAACAAATATAATAAACAGCATAACTATTCCTCATATTTAAATGATAGTTACCTTTCACAGAAGTAGGAAAATAAACATTTCAACACTTATATGTGTCATTAGAGATGAAGTTGTTTTGTTTTAGTAATTGTACCCTTGGTAATTTAACTCTTGAAAGTTATGCATCACTGAGTGCTTAATCTACTTAAATTGTTACCCACAAGGATTAATTCACTTTAGACCTCTACTATAGCATTAGCATTTTTTAAAAGTGCATTGTAAGACTCCTGGTATGGGAAAACTATAGAAACTGGTGTAAAATGTTATTAGCAAACTCTATAGAATGCAAAACTTGCCATAGTTCGCTTTAATGAAATCCCAGATAGTTTCTTTAGACTTTACTTGACAAAAGATAATTTTCAGTATTCAATACAATTAAATATATTACAGTCTACTTAAATACTTAAATATATTTCTATTTAAATTATCTACATACAACTAGGATCATTAACTGTTTCATTCACCTGAAGTATAATTGAGGGTCATTATGTTTCAATAATTTTACTACAAATTTGATCTGCAAGGATTTATTTCAAGAAATATTGTAGTATTTTATTTTTAAAACTGTCTTTTGCATTTGAAAATTATGAAACAATAGTAGAAAAAATAAATAACGTCATAAAGTAAACAGTATCTATGATGATCTCAGACATTGTTTCATGGAGCACAGTTCTGCAGGATGCTAATAGATATTCTACTATAAAGAAGTACTTTAGTCCAAAAAAAAGAAATAGTACATTTTAATTAGTTAAAATGATGTCTTTAGAATGCCTTAGCAACTTTTAATATTCTAATGTCTGAATTTCTAAGAAAAGGATATAAAATGCAGTGTCTTCCAAATCAGTGCAGAACTTTTTTGCCTGCAGTATATAGAAATAACGTGGAAAATCCTGACCTTCACAGTTCTTCAAAATCTCTGTATGCTTTATTCTGATTCTCACATTGCGTGTTTGTTGATATATGTGCTGAAGTGTGTCATGTCAAAGAGCTGAATGTGGTGATAGAATAAGGTAGATTATTTTTCCCTCAAGTGCATGGAACAGGAGGATCTCTTCTTGAAGGTGAGTCGTTCTAGTCTCCTACCGCTTATGGAAGGAGGTCTATATGACTTTAATGTGCACTTTTAAGCTGCTCCCTACAGCCACAACAATTTTACCCTGCTGTTAAATACAGATTTAGCTCCAGGGTGAGATCTAAAAGAGTGTGATCCTAGCCCTCTTCTCAGTTAGATCTTGAGCAAGCCTGAGTATAAGACTATTCATTTTTGTTAAATGACAACGAAAATATATAACTATTATTGCAGGATTTTTCCCTAAGGCTCTACTCTGTGCTGAAATGAATATTGTATAATTCTTGTTTTGGTATTTTTTAAGTTTAATACTGAAGACCCCAGTAACTAATAAAAATTTAAAAGTTTAATGCTTTTCTTTGATAACTGATGAATAGTTCATCTTTTCTATAACATTAATTTTTCCTAGTAAAATATTTTTCAAATAAACTAAATTATTATTCAGCATATTGCAGAATTTACCATTACTTTCATAACTTTCTTGCAGACATTATTTTTCTCAAAAATATTTAATATTTTTAATCTTTTAACTACTCATTAAATGCAACTTTATTATTTTAGCCTCTAACAAGTTAATAACCTCCATTATTAAATATAGGTTTTATACCTCCCCCCACACACTGGTAACTAAAAGTTAGAACAATTTTTGTAAGGGGTGTATTGTGAAAAAAATGCTTATTACTTTTAGAAAACCGGAAGTAAGAGGAACATTAACTTCCCGAATAAATATCCTTCCAGGAAACTGGCCTCTAGGAAAGGCATGGGGCTTTCTTCTTTGATGTTCTAATGGGATTTCCATGGAAGCATTTACCAGGGCTTAACCTACAGCCCCATTTTACAAGTTCTGAAATAAGATGTGTGTTCTCTAAATATTTTCCTCAGATATTCTTGTATTTGAATTTTACAGAGACTCAATGTGGAAAACAGAATCCCAGTTGCTTTCAATTTGTAATGATACAAATTCTTCAGGTTATTATGTAAGAAGCGGAATTTGTTTATTTTAGTGAAAAATCTCAATCATGGGGAAATACAAAATAAGATTCTAGAGCCACACAGTTAGTTTCAGACATCAGATTGTAGGACTATTTTGCTGTTCTTAATTTGAATTTTTGCTAGACACTTGAAAAAAATGTGGTAACATTACATTAGACAGATATCAAGTAGAGAAAATGATATTTTTATTTTTGCTCGATTTTATCTGTAAGAGTACTTAGTATTATTCAACTTCTTATTAACTATTGCAAGATGATAACAAGGGTTGAGTTGAAGTCTCTTGTGACTGCTTCTTTTACCCTTTCACAAACTATTTTATAAACTAGGTCCAAGTTGTGATTCGATGATTGTATTGTGAAATAACATGCTTTAATTATGTAATGAGCCTGTCTTACGAATTATGTGATTATTTGGTTTTATGAAACATTAAACTACTGGACAATTTAAAAATACTTGAAGGAAATAGAAATTTTAGTCACATAATCGTATTCAAAGCTCTTAACCTCTTTCTTCATATTTCACCAGGCTAAATAACTAATTAGAGAAACATAACATCTTTTTTTAAAACAAGAATTATCAGTTTATCTAGAATATATATTTCTCCCAAACAGTAGTTAAAGAAATGCTTTGGGCCCTGCATACAAATTCAAATATATATGTTTTAGGGTGCTAAATATTTAAAATTCAAACTGATATGAATTTCAGTGAGTTAACTTCTAAATGGAAAGTGATTCTCTTTGGAAAACTAGAAATATAAATCATTTCAGTTCTTTTGGTCAATATATTTTTATTTATGAAGGTATTCTTTAAATTGTGTGTTTATATTATATGTAATGTATTAAAAATAGGCTCATTAACCTTATGCTTATAAAATAATGAATATGCAAATATATGTGCACATATACACACATATAAATTCTACCTGTACATTGCTCTTTTGTGGCAATCTGTTCCATGAGTATCTCACCAGCTATACAAAATTATTTTTAAATTCATGCTTCCTAGTCTGGGAGGGGTGGCTCATGCCTGTAATCCTAGCACTATAGGAGTCCAAGGCAGGCATATCACTTAGGGTCAGGAATTCAAGACCAGCCTGGCCAACAGGGTAAGACCACATCTTTACTAAAAAAAATACAAAAAAATTAACCTGGCATGGTGGCGCACAACTGTAGTCCCAGCTACTGGGGAGGCTGAGGCAGGAGAATCACTTAAACTTGGGAGGCGGAGGTTGCAGTGAGCCAAGATCACGCCACTGCACTCCAGCCTGGGCAACAGAGTAAGACTCTGTCTCAAAAAAAAAAAACATGCTTCCATAGTAGTGTTATTAATTGATGACCAATCACTTAATACTTGTATAATAATAAAATGTAATATTTAGGTGACCTGGAATAGCCTATATGTAAGGACCTTTACATTTTGGTCAATTTCATATGATAGACATAGATAATTCAAGATAACACAAGAGTAGTTTATGTGTATTAGAATTAAGAAAGCCAGACAATTAATATTTGGTTTATAATATAAACATAAAGCATTTAATCGTGTACATTGTGTTATTAGTTCCAGTTTTTATAACATGTGTAGATAATTAACTTGATTATAAATTATGATGCACATGTAAGGTAATTTAATAGTGAATATTAGTAATATCTATAAATCTTTTATTCTCTAAATTTAATCTAATTCACTCATGTATTTTATTAGATTTTAATGTTAGGCTACCATGTAGAATTACACTATGAATTTGTTATTTTTTTCCTGCAACTATAAAGTGTTTCTGGACTGGCAGACTCTGTGTTCTGACTTCTGGGGCTTAAGATATCCTGTTGTGATCCAATATTTTCTGGTTCTGCCATTGAAGAATTGAAAATTCACACTGTCTTTTCCCTTTGAGAACCATTACCACCTGCTTTCATCTCCACAATACCTGTTTACCATAACAGTCTGTAACTGTTCTCTGGTCTTAGCTATGCCAACAATAATCCAGGGAAGCCTCCACCCAGCAGGATAAAAAATCCATTGTTTTACTGAAACAAATTCTTATTGATGTTCTCCAAACTCTACAAACAATGTCTCTCCATCTCTTTCTTCCATTTCATTATACCAAAAATAGCACCTGTCAACCTGGTATGTCTAAGCAGAACTTATCTGGCTTATCAGCCAAACATTTCACATTTCATAGTTATGTTTCCTTATTAGTATGTATTCATATTCTTTCTACCAAGTTATCCTTGAAGACACATCTTTGAAGGCATAGTCAAGAATTCCTTTTAGAATTCCTGATTCACTGTCTTCACATTTGGATTCTGAATGTCAAAGTAACATATAATTTCATATGTGAGCAAATTATTGACTAAATATTCTTCCATTTTCAGAGAAAATAAATGAAGGCATTCATCTAAAGTCTCTCCACACCATATAAAAATCACATTCTTTTAACAAGTATATTTTCATGAGATTAGCACTCAAGTAATTTACTCATGTATATTATATGGGGCACCAAGCAATATCTTAAATACTTGAGAGAGTAGCTTTCTTTTGGTTTGTAAAACTTTGATTTTATAATTGATATAAAACTAGCAAAAATACTGCAAAGAACATTTTTATTCTTGAACCATTCGAGAAGTTGCTAACACAACGTCTCTTTATCCTAAGATAATTCAGAGAGTATTTTCTATAGACAAGTACTTTCTTATACACAACCACAAACAGCCACCAAAATCAGAAAATTAATACTGATGAATAATAATACAACCATCTAAATATCAAACTTTTACTTATTTATAATATTTATTTGTTTATCTATATTAAAGTATGTGTGATATAGTTTTTCTTTTATTAGAAATGACAGGAAATTGACTGTGTGTCATTTTGGGAAAGTCTTCATGTTCACAGAATTCCATGGAGTCTAGGGCCTTTCAATTGGTCTTTAAAAAGTCTGCTGGTTCTGTGACTGGTCTCATTGCTCTTTCCTTTGGCTTCAACCTTTAAAGTCTGACTGCTCACATTATACAACAGATTTAGCTCTGGTAGATGTGTGCTCAGTGGAAGATATATCTATAGACTGGGGCATAGGCTAACGCTTATACCAGGACTTGCAAACATAAAAGTAAAACAGAAGAGGGAACCTATGTTATTTTATAGTGATAATTTTTGACTATGGATAATTTACTTTACATTTTTGATTTGTTTATCACTTTTTACTGATCATAGAACTATGTAAGAAACACAAAATTCAGACAATCTTATATATACATATATATTTCTCTTATATGTTGTACCAATAGAAAATACACTTTAATATAGTTTTCATCTAAAAATAATTAAATGGCACTTCAAACTATGAGAGTGATTACAATGAAGTACTGCAGTGAAATAATTATTCCCTGGAAAGTTTTAGCATTAATATTTCTTTTGCCAGGTAAATTAAATCAGAACATTTATGATCTTTGGTAATTTTTAGCTTGAGTTAAATATCTTCCAGCTTTTTAGAAAATATAAAAATAATACATATTAAATATATCCCCAAATTACAATTTTTTAAAGATTGCATATGTATATAATTTAAGAATAGTTGAATATTAAGAGACAAGGCTAGAACAACATTCATACTCCTTGATAGATGATATAAGAATATTTATTCAAATACATATAACTAAATAGTCATCAACATATATTATTGTGTCTTTATTATTATAGTTACACATGGATATTGAAATTACCTAATTTTAATTAATAGTCTTGATGTAATTATAAACAAATTATCAGCTGATTAAACTCAATGCTGTATTTCAATAGGAAAAGGACTTTTCATCTGTAACTACTTCTAAACTTGCTCAGACCAATTTGTTATTCACTTAATTTGACTATATATATGAAAATCTCATAGGATTCTAATAATTTTGAGGCATAAAAACAGTTTAATAATTTTTTTGTTTAATTTATATGGGTATGTAGTAGATGTATATATTTATGAGTTACATGAGAGATTCTGATAAAGGCATATAATGCAAAATAATCACATCAGGGTAAATGAGGTGTCTATCACCTCAAGCATTTCTCCTTTCTTTGTGTTATAAACATTCCAATTATACTCTTTTAGTTATTTTTAAGTGTACAATAAATTGTTATTGGCCACTCTGTTGTGCTATCAAATACTAGATTTTATTTATTCTAGCTATATTTTTGTATGCATTAACCATTGCCACTTCTCCACCACAAACTCTTATTCCATCATTCTACTCTCTGTCTCCATGAGTTCAATTGTTTTAATTTTTAGCTCCCACAAATGAGTGAGAGCATGCAAAGTTTGTCTTTCTGTGCCTGGCTTATTTCCTTAACACAATGACCTTCAGTACCCATACCACCTTTTCTTTATTCATTTGTTTGCTGAAAGACACTTAGGTTGCTTCAAAATCTTGGCTATTGTGAATTGTGCTGCAATAATCATGGGAGTACAGATATCTCTTTGATTTACTGATTTTCTTTCTTTGGGGTATGTGCCTAGCAGTAGGATATCTGGATCATAGGGTAAATCTATTTTCACTTTTCTGAGGAACTTCCATACTGTTCTCTGTAATGGCTGTACTAATTTACATTCCCACCAACAATGTATGTGAGGTCCCTTTCCTTCACATCCTCATCTGCATTTGTTATTGCCTGTCTTTTGGATGAAAGCCATTTTACCTGGGCTGAGATGATATACCTTTGTAATTTTCATTTGCAGTGCTTTGATGATCAGTGATGTTGAGCACTTTTTCATAAGCTTGTTTGCCATTTGTATGTCTTCTTTTGAGAAATATCTATTCAGATCTTTAGCCAATGTTTAATCAGATTGTTAGATTTTTTTCCTATATAATTGTTTGAGCTCCTTATATATTCTGGTTATTAATCCCTTGTTAGATGGATAGTTAGCAAATATTTTCTCCCATTTTGTGGGTTGTCTCTTCATTTTGCTTATGTTTACTTTGCTGTACAGGAGCTTTTTAACTTAATGTGGTCCCATTTGTCTATTTTTGCTTTGTTGCCTATGGTTATGGAATATTACTCAAAATATATTTGCCTTGATCTATGTCCTGGAGAGTTTTCCAAAAGTTTTCTTTTAGTTTTTTTTTTACAG
Source organism: Homo sapiens (assembly GCF_000001405.40). NCBI lineage: Eukaryota > Metazoa > Chordata > Mammalia > Primates > Hominidae > Homo > Homo sapiens. The sequence goes on along the minus strand of NC_000010.11, from coordinate 55,084,458 downwards.
CTTGAGGTCTTAGATTTAAGTCTTTAATCAATTTTTATTGGATTCTCATATATGGCAAGAGATAGGGGTCTAGTTTCATTCTTCTGTATATGAATAATCAGTCTCTAAGCACCTTTTTTTGAAGAGACTGTTCTCTCCCCAATGTACGCTCTTGGCGCCTTATTCAAAAATGAGATTTATGGATTTCTTTCTGTGTCTTCTATTTGGTTCCATTGGTCTATGTCTTTTTTTGTCTACCACTTTGTTTACAATAGCTGCTATTTTGTTTACAATAGCTTTGTGGTATTAATTTGAAGTCAGCTAATGTGATTTCTCCAGTTTCCTTCCTTTTTCCCAGGATGACTTTGGCTATTCTGGGTCTTCAGTAGTTTCATATAAATTTTAGAATTTTTTTTATATTTTTGTGAAGAATGTCATTTATATTTTGATAGGAATTACATTATCTTATATTGCTTTGGGTAGTATGGACATTTTAACAATACTGATTCTTTCAATCCATGAATGTGGAATATCTCTTCATTTTTGGGTTGTGTCTCCTTTGATTTCTTGTGTCAATGTTTTATAGTTTTTATTGTAGTTTTTATAGTTTTCATTTGTTTGGTTAAGTTTATTTCTGGGTGTCTTGTTTTATTTGTAGCTATTGTAAATGGGATTACTTTCTTGAGTTCTTTTTCAGATTGTTTGCTGTTTTCATGTAGAAATGCTACAGATTTCATTGTATTAATTTTGTACCCTACAACTTAACTGAATGTGTTTATCAGTTCTCATTGGTTTTATTGTATGAAGTCTTTAGGTTTTTCCCACTTATAAGATTATTTCATTTGCAAACAGGGATAATTTCACTCTTTTGTTTTCAATTTATATGCCCCTTATTCCTTTCTCTTGTCTGATTACACTAATTAGGACTTCTAGTATTATGGAAATAGCAATAGTGAACATAGGCATCCTTGTCCTGTTCAAGATCTTAGAGGAAAGGCTTTCATTTTCATTTTTTTACTCTTCAGTATGATGCTACCTGTGAGTCTCTCATATGTGTTTTTTATTGTATTGAGGTACATTCTTTCTATACTCTGTGCAGCTTTTTTAAATTATAAAATAATGTCAAATTTTATCAAGTATTTTTTCAGTATTTCAGCATCAATTGAAATGATCATATGTTTTTTGTCCTTTATTCTGTTGATATGAGGTATCATGCTGATTAATTTGCATATGTTGAACCATCCTTGCATCTCTGGGATAAATTCCACTTGGTCATGATAAATTATCTTTTTAATGTGTTGTAGAATTTTGTTTGCTAGTGTTTTTTTTTGCAAATTTTTTCATCAATATTCATCAGGGAGATAACCCTATAGTTTTCTATTTGACGTATCTTTTTCTGGTTGTGGTTATCAGTACTATACTTACTGACTTTGTATAATGAGCTTGGAAGTATTCTGAACTCTTTCATTTTTAGGAATAGTTTGAGTAGGACTGGTATTAGGTCTTGTTTAAATGTTTAATAAAATTCAGCAGTGCAACCATCAGTTCCTGGGCTTTTCTTTGCTGGGAGAGTTTTTATTATGGCTTTGATCTCATTACTTGCTATTGGCCTATTAAGGTTTTGGATTTCTTGATAGTTCAATCTTGGTTAGTCATATATCTCCAGACATTTATCAATGTATTCCCAATTTATTGACATATAGTTGCTCATAGTAGTCTCTAATTATCTTTTGAATTTCTGCCAGATCAGTTATAGTGTCTCCTTTTTCATCTCTAATTTTATTTATTTGAGTCTTCTCTCTTTTTTCTTTTTTAGTTTAATTCAAGATTTGTCAATTTTATCTTTTTAAAAAGCAACTTTTCTTTTTGTTGATATTTTGCGTGTTTTTTTTTTTTTCATTTCAATTTCACCTATTTCTGCTCTGATCTTTCTTTTCTTCTACTAATTTTGGGTTTGGTTTGGTTTTGCTTTTCTAATTCTTTAAGATGCATTGTTAGGTTGTGTATTTAACATTTTTCTGCTTTTTTGATGTGATTGCTTGTTGCTATAAAATTTCCTCTTAGTATTGTGTTTGTTGTATCCTGTAGGTTTTGATATGTTGTGTTTTCATTTTTGTTTGTAGAAACTTTAATTTTCTTCTAATTTTTTTCATGGACTCACTGATCCTTTGGGAACATAATGTTTAATTTCCATGTGTTGTAGTTTCCAAAGTTTATCTTGTTTTTGATTTCTAGCTTTATTCCACTGTTGTCAGAGAAGATACTTGATATAATTTTTTGAATTTTTAAAGACCTGTTTTGTAGTTTACCATATTGTCTATCCTTGAGGATGATCCATTTGCTAAGGAAGAGATTGTGTATTCTGCAGCAGTTAGATGAAATGTTCTATAAATATCTGTTAGGTCCATTTGGTCTATAGCGCAGATTAATTCCAATGTTTCTTTTTTTGCTTTTCTGTCTGGATAACCTGTCTAATGCTAAAAGTGGGGGTGTTGAAGTCTCCAACTATTATCATGTAGGGGTGTGCCTCTCTCTTTAGCTCTAATAATTTTTGCTTTATATGTCTGGGTGCTCCAGTACTTGGTTCATATATAATTGCTACATACTGTTGCTGAATTGACCCCTTTATTATTATATAGTGACCTTCTTTGTCTTAGTCCATTCAGCCTGCTATAACAAAATACCATAAATTAAGTAGCTTATAAATGACAGAAATATATTTCTCACAGTTCTGGAAACCAGGAAGTCTGAGATCAAGGCTCAAGCATATTAGGTTTGTGGGGAAGAACCTCTTCTTTAAAGATGAACATCTTCTCTTTGTAAACTCACATAGCGAAAGGGCAAGGGAGCTCTCTCAGGCATCCTTTATAAATGCACTAATAACACTCATGAGGGCTCCGGCATCATGACCTAATCATTTCCAAAGGCCTTGCCTCCTAACTGGTATGGTATGGTTAAGATTTCAATGTATACACTTTGGGAGTAAGCAAACATTAAGATGAAAGTACTCCAAAGTTTATATCTTGAAATCCTACCTCCCAAGGTAATGGTAATAGGAAGTAGGGCACTTGGAATGTAATTAGGTCATGAGAGTGGAGCCTTCATAAATGAGATTAGCATCTCTATAAGAAGAGACAAGAGGAGATTGTTTCAAGCTGGCTGACTAGGGACATCAGATCTCTTTCTCTCCAGAAAAAAAGAACAAAACTGTGAAGAGATAATCATACGTCAACTAGAACATCTAAAAGAGAACACTGAAGCTCAACATAGGAAACATCTGAGGCAGAGAAGGAGATGGAAGAAAGTGGCCAGCTTGGCTGAGATCAGCTGGGAGCCTGAAGGGGATCCCCATTGCATTCCACTATTGACGGCTGCAATCCTGACCATAAGAAGCCTCCTCTGTGCACATGAATACTAAAACTAGCATGGGCACTGATCTGGAGACCCCCAAAGCTCCTTGTCTGGGGCTATGAAAAGTGACCCCACCCCCAGCAGCAGCAGCACAGATTCTGTTTGGGTTTATCTAACAATGGGTTCCTTTTCCCTTTCTGCATACTGCTACAGCAGTTATTGCCACTGGGAGTGGAGGTGGGCAAGCCTGAAAACTGACTGTCTGGGGCTGGGAGCAGCAACCCCACCCTCCATACCAGAGCAGCATTTGTACTCTGGCTCACATGTAGAAAGTGAGCAGGGTCCCTTCCTTGCTTCTGCATACCACTGTAGCCATAATGCTGTTGATGCTGCCAGGGACTGGGGTGGGTGAGCTGGAGGGCTGCCTGTCTGGGACTGTGGGTGATGATCTTACCCACTCTGGTAGCACAGTCTCCATGCTTATGCCTGTGTGTGCAAAGGACGAGATCCCTCCTGGACTCCAAACAATGCTGCAATTACTGCAGCAGCCAGGGACCAAATAATGTACTACCCAGGACTCCCAGATGGCACCTTATTTGGAGCTGGGAGTGCCAACCCTGCTCACACAGCATGACCTCTGTACTCCAGTGCAGTGGTACCCAACATTTTTGGAACCAGGTACTTGTTTCTTGGGAGAAAAATTTTCCACAGACTAGGAGGAAACTCTTCCACCTCAGATCATCAGGCATTAGTTAGATTCTCATAAGGGGTGTGGAACCTACATCCCTCACATGCACAGTTTACAATAGGGTTTGCACTCCTATGAGAATCTAATGCCACTGCTGATCTGACAGGAGGTGGAGCTCAGCTGGTAATGCTTACTAGTCTGTTGCTCACCTCCTGTTATGTGGACCCATACTGGTTCACAGCCAAGGAGTTGGGAACCCCTGCTCTAGTGCACCCTCTGAGTACAGGTTCCCTGTGCACACCGCTGTGGCCATGGCTCCTGCTGGAGACAAAGTGTGCACTCCCTAGAACCTGAGAGATGCCTGCATGGGACTGCTGAAGACAACCCCACCAACACAAATAGCAGGACTGCTATGTTGTAGCCTGAGCCCTGAGGCCAGATTCTTCAAACCCACCACCACAGAATCCCCTGTTCTACCTACTAGAGCCTAAGCCCCTGCACACTACCTGGGGCCTGAGATCAAACACCATCAGTTTATCTTTACCAGTCCCTCCCCACCAGAGCCTGAGCAAACCTTCTGAAGACCTGGGAATCACTCCAGCTATTGCACCACCTCTGGCATCAGCACACTTTCCTCATGAACCTGAAGACAGGATCACTCACGCGCACCATATAGAAGCCTAAGGACCAACCTCTCCAGTCCATTAAAGCCACTGCCAACACAAACGTTCACTGTTTAGAACCCAGAGAGTCATCCCATTACTGCCATTGCCCATGCCACACTAGCTGTCCAGGGGCCTAAGAGCCTGCCTGCCCACCTGGCCCACTGTTGTCACTACTGGCATCTGAGGAAGCCATCTGGAGGCCTGAGAATTGGCCTGCCTGGACCACCTAATGGTGGTATCAATAAGCTACACTGGGGTTCAAGGGCAGGCATGATCAGCCCACAGTTGTCATGACTGGGGCTAAAGACTGGACTACCTGCAATGTCTGTTCCCAGCAACACTTTACACTTTACCAGAGCCTCCATTAATAACCACATTCTAAGTCACCAAGGACATCACAGTTACAGGTGATGTTTAAGGCCAAAGAAATCATACAGAGACTACATTACTGAATGCATGCAGAATCAAAGCTAAATGACCCTACAAAACATGGATTCATCTTCACAAAAACATCCCCCAAAGAAAGCAAATTCAGGATACTGGAAGAAGTGAGCATTACAACAGGTGCATAGATATCAACATAAAGACACAGAAAACAATAAAAAGTAAGGAAGTGGGATATACCCAAAAGAACACAATAATTCTCTAGCAACACATCACAATAAAAAAGAAAGTCCCAAAATCCCAGAATAAAAAAGGATTCTAAATATTGATTTTAAAGAAGCTCAGTGAGATACAAGAGAATTCTGAAAAACAATACAAAGAAACAATGAGAAATTTTCCAAAGAGAAATTATAAAAGGAAAGAAATCCTGGAAGCGAAGAACTCATTGAATAGAATGAAAATTATGGAGCTGGAGGTCGTTATTCTAAGTGAAGTAACTCAGAAATGGAAAACCAAATGTCATATATTTTCATTCATAAATGGGAGCTAAGCTATGAGAACACAAAGGCATAAGAGTGATATAATGGATTTTGGGGATCCACGGGGGGTTTGGGAAGGGGGTGAGGGATAAAAGACTACGTATTTGGTACAGTGTATACTGCTCAGGTAACAGGTACACTAAAATCTCAGAAATCAACACTAAAAAATTTATCCACAGAACCAAAAATGAGCTGTACCCCTAAAACTATTGAAATAAAAGAATACAAATTATATTCAAGGGCTTCAACAATAGACTATCTCAAGCAAAAGAAAAAAAATCACAGAACTTGAAGACAGGTATTCTGAAATAACCCAGTCAGTCAAAAATAAAGAAAAAAGAATAAAAAAGAACGAATAAAGACTTCATAATATATGGGTCATCATAAAGTGACTACATATACAAATTATCAGTATTTCAGAGGATGAAGAATGAAAAAGTTGGAAAACCTATTTGATGAATAATAGATGAAAACTTCCCAAGTCTAGCAATATATTTAGACATCCAGATACAGGAGGCCAAGCAATCCCCCAGACAGATGCAATGCCAAAATATCTTCTCCACAGCACAATATAGTCAATCTCTCAAAAGTCAAAAACAAAGAGATAATTCCAAAACTAGCAAGAGAAAATCATCTAGTCATTTACAAAAACACTCCCATAAGACTAATAGTGGACTTCTCAACATAAACATTACAGGCCAGGAGAGAATGGGGTAATATATTCAAAGTGCTGAAATAAAAAAATTCTACCCAAGGATACTAACTCCAGAAAAATGATCCTTCATAAATGAAAAATAAACAAAGCCTTTCCCTGAAAGCAAATGCTGATGGATTCATGACAACCAGACCAGTCCTACAAGAAATGCTGAAAGAAGTTCTGAACCTGGAAGTAAAATGACAAGAGTTGCCATCATGAGAATATACAAAAGTATAAAACTCACTCGCAAAGTAATGACACAAATAAAGAAGAGAAAAAACTGAAATGATATCATTAGAGAAAACCACTGGCCGGGCACGGTGGCTCACGCCTGTAATCCTAGCACTTTGAGAGGCCAAGCCAGGTGGATCACCTGAGGTCAGAAGTTTGAGACCAGTCTGTCCAACATGGTGAATCCGCGTCTCCACTAAAAATACAAAAAGTAGCCAGGTGTGGCGCATGCCTTTAATACCAGCTACTCGGGAGGCTGAGGCAGGAGAATCGCTTGAACCCAGGAGGTGGAGTTTGCAGTGAGCCAATATTGTGCCACTGCACTCCAGGCTGGGTGACAGAATGAGATTCCATCTCAAAGAAAGAAGGAAAGGAAGGTAGAAAGGAAAGGAAGGAAGGAAGGAAAGAAGGAAGGAAGGAAGGAAAGGAAAGAAGGAAGGAAAGGAAAGAAGGAAGGAAAGGAAGGAAGGAAGGGAAGGAAGGAAGAAAGGAAGGAAGGAAGGAAGGAAGGAAGGAAGGAAGGAAGAGAGAAAACCACCAAACCATAGGGACAAAAAAATAAGATAAAAAGAAAAGAACATTGAATACACATGCAAAACAACCAGACAAATACACTGTGAAAGGAAGAAAACCTCACATACCAATAACCTTGAATGTAAATAGATTAAATTATTCACTTAAAAGTTATAGATGAGCTGAATGGATTAAAAATGATACAATTATAGGCTGCCTACAAGAAACAGTATAATTGTAAAGATACATATAGACTGAAAGTAGTGACAGAAAAAGATATTCCACTCAAATAAAAACCAAAAAAAAAAAGGAGTAGTAGCTATACTTATATTAGATAAAAAGACTTGGCTGGCGTGGTGGTTCATGCCTGTAATCCCAGCACTTTGGGAGGCTGAGGCGGGCGGATCACGAGGTTAGGAATTTGAGACCAGCCTGATCAACATGGCAAAACCCCGTTTTTACTAAAAATACCAAAATTAGCCAGTCGTGGTGGCAGATGCCTATAATCCCAGCTACTCAGGAGGCTGAGGCAGGAGAATCGCTTGAACCAAGGAGACAGAGGTTGCAGTGAGCCAGATCGCCCCATTGCACTCCAGCCTGGGCAACAGAGCAAGACTCCATCTCAAAAAAAAAAAAAAAAAAAAAAAGGTCACAGGCCACACATGATGGCTCATGCCTGTAATCCTAGCACTGTGGGAGGCTGAGTGAGTGGATTGCCTGAGTTCATAAGTTTGATACTAGCCTAGGCAACATGGTGAAACCCCATCTCTACTAAAAGACCAAAAATAATAATAATAATAATTAGCCGCCATGGTGGTGTGCACCTATAGTCCCAACTACTTTGGAGGCTGAGGCACAAGAACCATTTGAAGGCAGAGGTCGCAGTGAACTGAGATCGCACCACTTCACTACAGGCTCAGTGACAGAGCGAGACACTGTCTCCAAAAAAAAAGAGTCACCAAGAAGATAAAAAAAAAAAAACACAGCAAGAGGATATAATTCTAAATATATATGTACTCAACATTGGAGAACCCAGATTTATAGAGCTAAACTATATATTACTAGAACTAAAGAGAAAGATGGACTTCAATACAGTAATAGACAGATCGTCTAGGAAATAAACCAATAAAGAAACATTGGACTTAAATTGGACTTTAGAGCAAATGAACATAACAGACATTTACAGAGCATGTTATCCAACAACTGCAAAATATACATTCTTCTTACTAGCACATGGAACAGTCTCTAGAATAGGCCATATGTTAGATTACAAAACAAGTCTCATTTTTTAAAAATAAAATCATGTCAAGTGTCTTCTCAGACAACGATGAAATAAAACTAGAAATCAATTCCAAGAAAAACCTTGGAAACTGTATAAATACATAGAAACAAAACAACATGCTCCTGAGTGACCACTGGTTCAATATAGATATTAACATGAAAATCAAATATTATTTTGAAACAAATGAAAATGATAATGCCACCTACCAAAACCTGTGAAATACAGCAAAAGCAGTACTATAAGGGATAGTTTATAACACTGAATACTTACATCAAAAATAAAGAGACTTCAAATAAAAATCTAATCATGCAACTCAAGAAACTAGGAAACCAAGAACAAAACAAATCCAAAGTTAGCAAAAGAAAAGATACAATAAAGATCAGAGCAGAAGTAAATGAAATAAAGACTGAAAAAAAAAATACAAAGGAGGAGTAAAACAAAAAGCTGATTCTTGAAAAGTTTAAACAGGCCAGGCACAGTGGCTTATGCCTGTAATCCCAGCACTTTGGGAGCCTGAGGCGGCTAGATCACGAGGTCAGGAGACAGAGACCATCTTGGCCAGCATGGTGAAACCCCGTCTCTACTAAAATACAAAAATTAGCTGGACACGGTGGCACATGCCTGTAATCCCAGCTATTTGGGAAGCTGAGGCTGGGGAATCGCTTGAACCCGGGAGGCAGAGGTTGCTGTGAGCTGAGATTGCACCACTGCACTCCAGCCTGGTGACTGAGCAAGACTCCATCTCAAAAAAAAAAAAAAAAAATTTAAACAAAATTGATAATCTGTTATAGAGCTAACAAAGATAAAGAGACAAAACTCAAATAAACAAGAAACAAAATTGAGCCTCACAATTGATACCACACAAATACAAGGAATCATTAGAGACTGTTATGAACACCATATTCTCATAACCCTAGAGGAAATGGAAAAATTCCTGAAAACACACACCCTACCAAGTTTGGATAAAGAAAAAATAGAAAACCTGAAATAGATCAATAAGAAGTAGTGAGAATAACAGTAACCAAAACAGCATGGTACTGGTACAAAAACAGACACATAGACCAATGGAACAGAATAGAGAACTCAGACGTAAGACCGCACATCTACGTCATCTGATCTTTGACAAACCTGACTAAAACAAGCAATAGGGAAAGCATTCCCCGTTTAATAAATGGTGCTGGGAGAAATGGCTAGCCATCCATAGGAAACTGAAACTGGACCCCTTCCATATACCTTATACAAAAATTATCTCAAGATGGATTAAAGACTTAAATGTAAAACCCAAAAACATAAAAATCTTAGAAGAAAATCTAGGCAATAGCATTCAGGACATAGGCATGGACAAAGATTTCATGAGGAAATCGCCAAAAGCAATTGCAACAAAGGCCAAAATAGACAAATGTGATCTAATCAAACTAAAGAGCTTCTGCACAGCAAAAGAAACTATCATCAGAGCAAACAGGCAACCTACAGAGTGGGAGAAATTTTTTGCAATCTATCCATCTGAAAAGATCTAATATCCAGAATCTACAAGAAACTTAAATAAATTTACAAAAAAACCCCCATAAACAACCCCATTAAAAAGTGATCAAAGGACATGAACAGACACTTCTCAAAAGAAGACATTTATGCAGCCAACAAATATATGAAAGAAAGCTCAACATCACTGATCATTAGAGAAATGCAAATCAAACCCACAATGAGATACCATCTCATGCCAGTCAGAATGGTGATTATTAAAAGCTCAAGAAACAACTGATGTTGGTAAGACTGTGGAGAAATAGGAACACTTTTACACTGTTGATGGAAATGTAAATTAGTTCAACCATTGTGGAAGATACTGTAGCAATTCCTCAAAGACCTAGAACCAGAAATACCATTTTACCCAGCAATCCCATTACTGGGTATATAACCAAAGGAATATAAATCATGCTATTACAAAGATACGTGCACGTGTATGTTCACTGCAACATTATTCACAATAGCGAAGACATGGAATCAACCCAAATGCTCATCAATAATAGACTGAATAAAGAAAATATAGTACATATATACCATGGAATACTATGCAGCCATAGAAAAGAATGAGATCATGCACTTTGCAGGGACATAGATGGACCTGGGTGCCATTATCCTCAGCAAACTAACACAGGAACAGAAAACCAAACACCACATGTTCTCACTTACAAGTGTGAGCTAAACAATGAGAACACATGGACACAGGGAGGGGAACAACATACACTGAAGCCTGGTCGGGGGAGATGGGGGGGAGCAAGAGCATTAGGAAAAGTAGTACTTAAAAGAAGTAGTGAGAATAAATCAGTAATAAAAATTCTCCCCCCCAAAAAAGCCTACGGTTAGATGAATTCTCTGCTGAATTCTCCCAAATGTATAAAGAATAACTAATACCAATTCTTCTCAAAGTATTATAAAAAATTGAAGAGGGGGGAACTCTCTCTAACTCATTTTATGAGGCTGGAATTACTCTGATATCAAAACCAGACAAAGGCACAACGAGAAAGAAAACTACAGGCCAATGTCCCTGATGAAGATAGATGTAAAAATTCTTAACAAAATACCACGTCCCTTGTAAGTTGGATTCCTAGGTATTTTATTCTCTTTGAAGCAATTGTGAATGGGAGTTCACTCATGATTTGGCTCTCTGTTTGTCTGTTATTGGTGTATAAGAATGCTTGTGATTTTTTGTACATTGATTTTGTATCCTGAGACTTTGCTGAAGTTGCTTATCAGCTTAAGGAGATTTTGGGCTGAGACAATGGGGTTTTCTAGATATACAATCATGTCATCTGCAAACAGGGACAATTTGACTTCCTCTTTTCCTAATTGAATACCCTTTATTTCCTTCTCCTGCCTAATTGCCCTAGCCAGAACTTCCAACACTATGTTGAATAGGAGTGGTGAGAGAGGGCATCCCTGTCTTGTGCCAGTTTTCAAAGGGAATGCTTCCAGTTTTTGCCCATTCAGTATGATATTGGCTGTGAGTTTGTCATAGATAGCTCTTATTATTTTGAGATACGTCCCATCAATACCTAATTTATTGAGAGTTTTTAGCATGAAAAGTTGTTGAATTTTGTCAAAGGCCTTTTCTGCATCTCTTGAGATAATCATGTGGTTTTTGTCTTTGGTTCTATTTATATGCTGGATTACATTTATTGATTTGCGTATATTGAACCAGCCTTGCATCCCAAGGATGAAGCCCACTTGATCATGGTGGATAAGCTTTTTGATGTGCTGCTGGATTCGGTTTGCCAGTATTTTATTGAGGATTTTTGCATCAATGTTCATCAAGGATATTGGTCTAAAATTGTCTTTTTTGGTTGTGTCTCTGCCCGGCTTTGGTATCAGGATGATGCTGGCCTCATAAAATGAGTTAGGGAGGATTCCCTCTTTTTCTATTGATTGGAATAGTTTCAGAAGGAATGGTACCAGTTCCTCCTTGTACCTCTGGTAGAATTCGGCTGTGAATCCGTCTTGTCCTGGACTCTTTTTGGTTGGTAAGCTATTGATTATTGCCACAATTTCAGAGCCTGTTATTGGTCTATTCAGAGATTCAACTTCTTCCTGGTTTAGTCTTGGGAGGGTGTATGTGTCGAGGAATTTATCCATTTCTTCTAGATTTTCTAGTTTATTTGCGTAGAGGTGTTCGTAGTATTCTCTGATGGTAGTTTGTATTTCTATGGGATCGGTGGTGATATCCCCTTTATCATTTTTTATTGCGTCTATTTGATTCTTCTCTCATTTTTTCTTTATTAGTCTTGCTAGTGGTCTATCAATTTTGTTGATCCTTTCACAAAACCAGCTCCTGGATCCATTAATTTTTTGAAGGGATTTTTATGTCTCTATTTCCTTCAGTTCTGCTCTGATTTTAGTTATTTCTTGCCTTCTGCTAGCTTTTGAATGTGTTTGCTCTTGCTTTTCTAGTTCTTTTAATTGTGATGTTAGGGTGTCAATTTTGCATCTTTCCTGCTTTCTCTTGTGGGCATTTAGTGCTATAAATTTCCCTCTACACATTGTTTTGAATGTGTTCCAGAGATTCTGGTATGTTGTGTCTTTGTTCTCGTTGGTTTCAAAGAACATCTTTATTTCTGCCTTCATTTCGTTAGGTACCCAGTAGTCATTCAGGAGCAGGTTGTTCAGTTTCCATGTAGTTGAGCGGTTTTAAGTCAGTTTCTTAATCCTGAGTTCTAGTTTGATTGCACTGTGGTCTGAGAGACAGTTTGTTATAATTTCTGTTCTTTCACATTGGCTGAGGAGAGCTTTACTTCCAAGTATGTGGTCAATTTTGGAATAGGTGTGGTGTGGTGCTGAAAAAAATGTATATTCTCTTGATTTGGGGTGGAGAGTTCTGTAGATGTCTATTAGGTCAGCTTGGTGCAGAGATGAGTTCAATTCCTGGGTATCCTTGTTAACTTTCTGGCTCGTTGATCTGTCTAATGTTGACAGTGGGGTGTTAAAGTCTCCCATTATTATTGTGTGGGAGTCTAAGTCTCTTTGTTGGTCACTCAGGACTTGCTTTATGAATCTGGGTGCTCCTGTATTGGGTGCATATATATTTAGGATAGTTAGCTCTTCTTGTTGAATTGATTCCTTTACCATTATGTAATGGCCTTCTTTGTCTCTTTTTATCTTTGTTGGTTTAAAGTCTGTTTTATCAGAGACTAGGATTGCAACCCCTGCCTTTTTTTGTTTTCCATTTGCTTGGTAGATCTTCCTCCATCCTTTTACTTTGAGCCTATGTGTGTCTCTGCACATGAGATGGGTGTCCTGAATACAGCACACTGATGGGTCTTGACTCTGTCCAATTTGCCAGTCTGTGTCTTTTAATTGGAGCATTTAGTCCAGTTACATTTAAAGTTAATATTGTTATGTGTGAACTTGATCCTGTAATTATGATGTTAGCTGGTTATTTTGCTCATTAGTTGATTCAGTTTCTTCGTAGCCTCGATGGTCTTTACAATTTGGCATGATTTTGCAGTGGCTGGTACTGGTTGTTCCTTTCCATGTTTAGTGCATCCTTCAGGAGCTCTTTTAGGGCAGGCCTGGTGGTGACAGAATCTCTCAGCATTTGCTTGTCTGTAAAGTATTTTATTTCTCCTTCACTTATGAAGCTTAGTTTGGCTGGATACTCTTCAAGGAGAACTACAAACCACTGCTCAATGAAATAAAAGAGGATACAAAGAAATGGAAGAACATTCCATGCTCATGGGAAGGAAGAATCAATATCGTGAAAATGGCCATACTGCCCAAGGTAATTTATAGATTCAATGCCATCCCCATCAAGCTACCAATGACTTTCTTCACAGAATTGGAAAAAACTACTTTAAAGTTCATATGGAACCAAAAAAGAGCCCACATCACCAAGTCAATCCTAAGCCAAAAGAACAAAGCTGAAGGCATCACGCTACCTGACTTCAAACTATACTACAAGGCTACAGTAACCAAAACAGCATGGTACTGGTACCAAAACAGATATAGATCAATGGAACAGAACAGAGCCCTCAGAAATAACGCCACGTATCTACAACTATCTGATCTTTCACAAACCTGAGAAAAACAAGCAATGGGGAAAGGATTCCCTATTTAAAAAATGGTGCTGGGAAAACTGGCTAGCCATAGGTAGAAAGCTGAAACTGGATCCCTTCCTTACACCTTATACAAAAATTAATTCAAGATGGATTAAAGACTTAAACGTTAGACCTAAAACCATAAAAACCCTAGAAGAAAACCTAGGCATTACCATTCAGGACATAGGCATGGGCAAGGACTTCATGTCTAAAACACCAAAAGCAATGGCAACAAAAGCCAAAATTGACAAATGGGATCTAATTAAACTAAACAGCTTCTGCACAGCAAAAGAAACTACCATCAGAGTGAACAGGTAACCTACAGAATGGAAGAAAATTTTCGCAACCTACTCATCTGACAAAGGGCTAATATCCAGAATCTACAATGAACTCAAACAAATTTACAAGAAAAAAACAAACAACCCCATCAAAAAGTGGGCGAAGGACATGAACAGACACTTCTCAAAAGAAGACATTTATGCAGCCAAAAAACACATGAAAAAATACTCATCATCACTGGCCATCAGAGAAATGCAAATCAAAACCACAATGAGATACCATCTCACACCAGTTAGAATGGCAATCATTAAAAAGTCAGGAAACAACAGGTGCTGGACAGAATGTGGAGAAATGGGAACACTTTTACACTGTTGGTGGGACTGTAAACTAGTTCAACCATTGTGGAAGTCAGTGTGGCGGTTCCTCAGGGATCTAGAACTAGAAATACCATTTGACCCAGCCATCCCATTACTGGGTATATACCCAAAGGACTATAAATCATGCTGCTATAAAGACACATGCACACATATGTTTATTGCGGCACTATTCACAATAGCAAAGACTTGGAACCAAGCCAAATGTCCAACAATGATAGACTGGATTAAGAAAATGTGGCACATATACACCATGGAATACTATGCAGCCATAAAAAATGATGAGTTCATGTCCTTTGTAGGGACATGGATGAAACTGGAAATCATCATTCTCAGTAAACTATCGCAAGAACAAAAAACCAAACACCGCATATTCTCACTCATAGGTGGGAATTGAACAATGAGAACACATGGACACAGGAAGGGGAACATCACACTCTGGGGACTGTTGTGGGGTGGGGGGAGGGGGAAGGGATAGCATTAGGAGATACACCTAATGCTAAATGACGAGTTAATGGGTGCAGCACACCAGCATGGCACATGTATACATATGTAAGTAACCTGCACATTGTGCACATGTACCCTAAAACTTAAAGTATAAAAAAAAAATTGTTATTTTAAACATGAAAAAAAAAAAAAAAAACAAAATACCAGCAAACCAAATCTAACAGAACATCAAAAAGATAATACAGTCTGGGTGCAGTGGCTAATGCTTGTAATCACTTTGAGAGGCCAAGGTGGGTGGATCACATCAGGACAGGAGTTCGAGACCAGCTTGGCCAATATGGCAACCCCTATCTCTACTAAAAATACAAAAAAAAAAAAAAATAGCTGGACATGGTGGAACATACCTGTAATCCCAGCTACTTCGGAGGGTGAGGCACAAGAATCGCTTGAACCCAGGAGGTGGAGGATGCAGTGAGCCCAGACTGCACCACTGCACTCTAGCCTGGGTGTTGGAGTGAGACTCTGTCTCAAAAATAATAATAACCAAAAAAGGAGCAGAGAAGGCAATTCCATTTACAATAGCTACAAAAAAGAGAACTTACTCATAAATTTAATCAAAAAGGTGAAAGAGATCTGTAGGGAACACACACACGTGCACGCACACACACACACACAATGATGAAAGAAAGTGAAGAGAATACAAACAAATGGAGAGACATCCAAGGTCTTGGAGTGGTAGAATTAATATTAAAATGACCATACTGCCCCAAGAAATATATAGATTTAATGTAATCCCTATGAAAATAGCACTATCATTTTTCACAGAAATAAAAAATATCCTAAAATTCATTTGAAACAAAAAAATATCCAGAAGAGCCAAAGAAATCCTGAGCAAAATAAAACAAAGCTGAAGGAATCATACTACCTTATTTCAAAGCATAGTGCACGCCTATGGTGAACAAAAGAGCATGGCATTTATATAAAAATGTATGCATAAATGAGAATAGATAACACAAAATGAAATCTACATGCTTACAGGAAACTGATCTTTGATAAAATTGCCAAGAAAATTCACTGGGGAAAGGACAGTCTCTTTAATGAATTTATCTTGGAAAGCTGGATAACTACATGCAGAAGAATAAAACTAGACCCCTATCTCCCATCATATACAAAAATAAACTCATAATAGATTAAAAACTTAAACATAAGATCTGAAACTATACAAGTATTATGTTGATGCAAAGATATAACAAAAAACATAAGAAAAACTCTTCAGGACATTAGAGTAGGCAAAGAATTTACAGCTAAGACCTCAAAAGTACAGGCAAATAAAACAAAAATGGACAAAATGCACTACATTACAGTAAAAAGATTCTGCACAGCCAAACTAACAGACTGTAGAGACAACTTTTTAAATATAAGAAAATATTTTGAAACTACCTATTTTACAGGAGAACAATATTCAGAATATACAAGAAATTCAAACAAGTCAACAGTAAAAAACAAATAATCGCATTAAAAATTGGCAAAGGACACGAATAAACATTTCTCAAAAAAAGACATACAAATGGCCAACAGGCTTATGAAAAAATGCTCATCATCACTAATCATCAGGGAAATGCAAATGAAAACCACAATAAAATATAATCTTACCCCAGTTGCAATGACTGTTATTAAAAAGACAGAAAGTAACAGATGCTGGCAGAGTTGCGGAGAAAATTAGACTCTTATACACTGTTGGTGGTAATGTAAATTAGTACAACCACCATAGAAAGCAGCATGGAAGTTTCTCAAAAAAAAAAAAAAATAGAACTATCACATTATCCAGCAATTCCGCTACTGGGTATTTGGGTATTTATTCAAAGAAAAATAAATCAATATACCAAAGAGAAACCTGCACTCACATATTTGTCAAACCACTATTCACAATAACAAAGATATGGAATCAACCTAAGTGTCTACCCATGAATGAGTGAATAAAGAAAATGTGGTATATATACATAATGGAATACTATTCTGTTGTTAAAAAGAATAAAATCATGTCACTTGCAGCAACGTGAATGGAACTGGAGGTTATATTAAGTGAAATGAGACAGGCACAAAAAGACAAACACTACATATTCTCAATCATATATGAGAACCAAAAAACTTGATCTCATGGACACACAGAGTAGAATGTTAGATACTACAGCCTGAGAAGTGTTGTGGGGATGAAGGGAGGTTGGTTAATGAGTACAGTCATACAGTTAGATAGAAGAAATAAGTTACAATGTTTGATAGCAGACTAGAGTAACTATAATTATACCTTTCCTGGTTTGTATACAGCCATCTTTTTATTATATCCTCACATGGTCAAGAGAGAAATCACCTCTTTCATGTCTCTCTTTTCTTCGTTTGTTGATACATAATAGTTTACATATTTATGGAGTAGATGTGTTTATTACATGCATAGAATGTGTAATGATCAAGTTAGAGCACTTGGGGTATACAACAGCTTGAATATTTATCATTTTTGTGTATTAGTATAATTTCAAGTTCTCATTTTAGTTATTTTGTAGTATAAAAAATATTAAGCATAGTCACTGTAGTCTGCTATCGAACATTAGAACTTTATTCACTCACAAATAAAACTAGAAATTTATAAATTAATAAATTAAAATAAAATAAAAACCTCATGTAATTTGTGAAAACTTAAAAAAATAGTTTTGAGAGAAAGGAACAATATTTATAAAATGTGATACAGAGAACACTGCATATCAAATTAACAGTCCAATCTCTAATTAGAAACATAACTCAAATACTCAAATTAAAAAAAAAGTTACCTTTGCATTCACTTACAGATCTTAGAATAAAATAAATCAATCCCAAGACTCACAAATAAGACTATAAATTTATAAATTAATAAAATAAAATAAAAGCCTCATGTAATTTGTGAAAACTTAAAAAAATAGTTTTGAGAGAAAGGAACAATATTTATAAAATGTGATACAGAGAACACTGCATATCAAATTAACAATCCAATCTCTAATTAGAAACAACTCAAATTAAAAAAAAATAAATGTTACTTTTGCATTCACTTACAGATCTTAGAATAAAACAAATCAATCCCAAGAGAACAGTAAAAAACTTAAATATAAATTAATTAATTTAAAAAAGTAGAACTGATTAACCAGAGAATTGATTCTTTTATTAAAAATTAAAATAAAATCACACACATTTATCCTGGTGAAAGAAACAGATATTAAGGGAGAAATAAGAGAGAACTGCTGTTAAGAAAAAAAAAGTTTTAAGAAAATACCCTTATACGTCGATTAAAAATATAATAAGCTGACAATTTTTGTGATAAGTAAATAGCATATAAATAAAGCAAAAAAAATTCCTGACATATGTGAACAAAAATAAATGTGTAAATAAAAATTAATAAATTATGGAAAATACTGTGTTTGGGGAATAGTGGGACTTGTATGTATAAAGTGGCCTTTGTATTTTGACCAAAGCAATCAATAACAGTAATAAAAACTGAATCACAATCACGACATAGTTTTTAATCTCCATTTAACCAAATTATTCTTAGTCGGTATGAAATAGCACGTATCTGAGCATTGTCTAGAGAACTTTAAAGTTTAAGAAGGAGAAAGACAAGCCAAAGAACTTGTAGAAAACTAAACAAACAGCATAGACTATAAATAAACTGGTCTAACTATTCTAATGGAGCTTTAGTTTTTATTAACAGTATACTAAGAATCCACTATTTTTGTTATTTCACTTATTTCACAAATAATTTTGACTTCTTAAAAGTTCTAGGAGCTCTTCTAGATGCTGGGCAGAAGGGCATTGGTAAGGAAACAGTATCTACTCTCCTGGGTTCATAGAGTGGTAAAACAGTTAAAAAGCATGTAAACAGATACATACAAGACTATTTAAGCCAACAGTATGTGTTTTGAAGAAAGTCAAAGCAAAGTGATAGACATGATAGTGACTGGATAGTGCTGAGGTTGCCTTACTGTAGAGTCATACAACAGGACCTTTCTAAGGAGGGGACCTTTGAACCGAAACCTGAATGATTCAAAGTCAACATTACCATAACTGGGGGAAAGGGTGAGCATTACATTTTCTGGTTAGATGAAAGGGGAAAAGGAGTTCAATAATTTGAGGAACAGATTAGGACATTGTGCTAGAGGATAAGAATGGGGATTGGAAGTAGATGGTAGGAGATAAGATCAGAGCTATAGACAGGAAACTTTATTTCTAGATATGGAATTTGTATTTATTTTAAATGTAGCAAGAAATCAGGGGAGTGACATTATTTGTCTTCTATTTTTAAATTGTGATTCTTATTTGTGTCTCACATCTGTAGACAAGTCCTATTGCTGAGCTTCCTGTGGACAGCCCTTCTAATTAGCTGGCTGAATATTTTCATCTTTCATCCAGATATTTTGCTATTAAACTGCAAGGAGAGGACAGATGATAAAGAAAAATAACATCTCATTGAGATTTTTTAAAATATTCTATTTATTGTGATAATGATTTGGGAGCCTGTTAAAAAGTCACCCAAAAATAATCGTTTGTGCTTATGATGTCTCAAATGATAATAGTTTAGCACCTTTGTTATTTTCACTCACAGTTAAAATGTCTTTGTTTTCATTTGCTTCACAAGTATAAATTGGTACTATCAAAATTATCACAAAGCTTTACTGATGAAGAGAATTAGAAGTAAATGAAAACTCGTAACTACATTATGCTTGATTTGCTTTTGACATCCTAGGTCTTTTGGCTCATAGTACCTTTTTGAGAAAAATATGCTGCTAACAGATTTAGGTATTTTAGTATAAGTAGCTATCCCCTCAGTGAAAAAAAAAGTTATATTTTAAGAATCAGAGGTGCAGAAACTAGACACTTATTAATTAAATGACAATGATTTCAATTTTTTTCTCAGCATATAATAGAGATTATATGCCCCAACCTAATATGAGTACCTTTGTGTGCACACATGTGTGCTTTTCAGGCACGTGCAAGGGATTTCAGGCATGATGTTACATTGTCACTACCATGGCTGAAAGGAAAGGTAGCAGCAGACTTTGCATTTATCTACAGGATGTCAGATAATCTATTAAATCTGTTGAAAGTGTCAATCAATTAAGTTATTTTGATGAGTAAATCCAGTCATTTACACAAGTAGCAGTAGTGGTAGTAATTATAGTGCTAGTAGCAGTAACTCCTAGATAATTACTTGTATGTCAGGCCCTAAGAAGAGTCAAAAATAATCTCTAATAGAACACTTGCTTGAGAATCTTTTCATTAGGAGATTTTTCCATATGTATTTATGGTGACTAATATTTTCCCATTGCTTTCTGGAAGTGCTTCTCTGCTTAGATTCTCACAACTGTAGAAACCTGGCAAAATAGGAACTATTCCTTGTACATAACATGATCATGCTGCATAGCTTGACTCAGGATTGCTTCATCTAAAGGCATGAAACAAAATATTTAATATCCTGATTTGATCCCAGCAAAATGTGAAATATTCAAGCCAACAGCCTTTATCACAGGATAAACAGCATACTTTCTACTAGTTGTTTGTTTACCTTCTGATAACTTTGGAGTCCCAGAAGCATGAATCTTTTTATTTGAGTGTCAGATTATGAAGTATGTGTGAATGCAGAAATAATTTGGACAGCTTTATGGGGAGCTTGACTTGTAATATCATAAAATGAAATAAACAGGTTGATTTGAATACTGTTAATGTGATTTATAATGTTTATGCGTATCTGTTGGTTCTACTTTTCAGTAAACCTGCCAATTAATTTTAATAATACAAGAAATATGCCCTCTTCAACAGAAATACATACAAACATGCACACATATACAGAAAAAAGATAGTAATTCTCCCCATGTATACAGATAAAGATGGTAATTCTCCCCATGTCCATTCTTTAGTGCCTTACAACTAGTATGAGGGAAAAATGGCACAATAAAATTATATTCTGCAGAGAGTTTCAATGTTTATATAAAATTGTATTCTCACTACCACCCTGACAAGTGACAGATATATTGTTTCAGAATTGAAATGTGAGAGGAAAAAATAGAGAGATTAGGAATGTTGAGATATACTATGCCACTGCTTTATAATGACTTTATATGACACTGCTAGAAAAATTTTACTGGCTAAGAGAAACTGTATTTTATAAAACGTCCAGGTTTTTTAAGTTGTAGAAAGTATTATTCAGAAAATTATTAGGAGAGTCTACTTATGTACATTTTCAGTTAACAAAAAATAGAGGCATAGTAAATTATAGAGATTAAAAGTATGGATTTTGGAGTCACACAACACAAGTTTGAGTGGACAATTTACCAAATGTTCCCTTGGACAATTTGAATAGCTGTTCTGAAACTGAGGTATTGTAAAGCCAATATGGGGCTCATAATGATGAGATTCAAAATGATATGTATTTCATAGGGTTGTTTTGGGGATAAATGAGGCAATTCACATACATCTTTTATTATAGTGTCCAAAAATATTGGCCACTATCATTTTAAAGATTTTTTAAAGCAGTTTTAGATTCACATCAAAATTGAGAGGAAGGTACAGAGATTTCCCATATATCCCTGCCCCAAAAATGCACAACCTCCACTATTACCAATATCCTCCACTAGAGTGGTACATATGTTGCAATTGATGAGTCTATAGTAATACTTCGTTATCACCCAAAGTCCACAGTTTACCTTAGGGTTCATTCTCAGTGCTGTACATTATATGGGTTTGGACTAATTTATATTGACATGTGTCTACCATTATAGCATCATACAGAATAGTTTCACTACCCTAAAAATCCTCTGTGCTCTGCCTATTTATCCATCTTTCCCTTCAACCTCAGGCAATTACTGATCATTTCACTGTCTCCATAGTTTTGACATTCCCAGCATGTCATATAGGTGGAATCATACAGCATGTAACATTTTCATATTGGCTTCTTAGTAATATACTTGCTTATTTCTCTTCATAGCTCATGTCTTAGTCTATTCTGATGGCTATAACAAAATACAATAGACTGGGTAGTTTATAGACAACAAAAATTATTTCTTACAGTTTGGGAGGCTGGAAAGTCCAAGATAAAGGTAACAGCAGATTTGATGTCAGTGGGACCAGCTTTCTGATTCATAGAGAGTACTTTCTCATTGTGTCTTCATATGGTGGAAAGGACAAAAGAGTTATCTTGGGAATATTTTATAAGGGCACTAATCCCATTCATGAGAGCTCCACTCATGACCTGATCACTTCCCAAAACCCCACCTTTTAATACCATCACCTTGGGGTAAGGATTTAATATTTGAATGTTGACATTTTGGAGAAGAAAGATTAGTCCATTGCAGCTTAGTAGCTAATTTCTTTTTTATCTTTTGTTTAATTTTTATTTATTTACTTTTTTGAGAATGAGTCTTGCTCTGTTGCCAGGCTGGAGTGCAGTGGCACGATCTTGGCTCAATGCAACCTCCCCATCCCGGGTTCAAGTGATTCTCTTGCCTCAGCCTCCTGAGTAGCTGGGACTGCAGGCACTCGCTACCATGTCCAGCTAAGTTTTGTATTTTTAGTAGAGTCGGGGTTTCACCATGTTGACCAGAATGTTCTCAATCTCTTGACCTCGTGATCCCCCACTCCTCGGCCTCCCAAAGTCCTGGGATTACAGGCGTAAGCCACCGCATCTGGCCAGTAGCTAATTTCATTTTAGTGCCCTGAGTAATATATTCCATTGTCTAGATGTAGCACAGTTTATCCATTAATCTACTGAAGGGCATCTTGGTTGCTTCCACATTTTGGTAATTATGAATAAAGGTTCTATAAACATCTTTGTGCAGGTTTTCTATGAATGAAAGTTTTTAATTCCTTTGGGTAAATACCAAGGAGTGTG
The DNA here is from genome assembly GCF_000001405.40 of Homo sapiens. Taxonomy (NCBI): domain Eukaryota; kingdom Metazoa; phylum Chordata; class Mammalia; order Primates; family Hominidae; genus Homo; species Homo sapiens. The sequence continues at coordinate 55,061,538 of NC_000010.11, read as the reverse complement.
ATTGCTAGATCATACGGTGAAGGCTGTTTAATGTTGTAAAAAGCTGTCAAACTGTCTTCTAAAGTGGCTATAACATTTTGCATTTCCACCAGCAGTGAAAGGGAGTTCTTGTTTCTCCATGTCCTTGCCAGCATAATCAATGTTCTGGGTTTTGACCATTCCAAAATGTATATAGTAGCATCTACTTGTTGTTCTAATTTGCATTTCCTTTGTGATATATGATGTGGAATGTCTTTTCATATTCTTATTTGACAACTATGTATCTTCCTTGGTGAAGTGTTAAGGTTTTTCGCTTTTTATAAATTGGATGTCTTACTTTTTGTTGAGTTTTTAAAGTTTCTATGTATGTTTGCCTAACATTACTTTATTAGATGTGTCTTCTCAAATATTATCTGTGACTTATATTTTCATTTTTTTGCCATTGTCTTATGGAGAACAGAAAATTTTAATATCAATATAGTATAGTTCATCAATTTTTTTCATAGAATTTGCCTTTGGCTTTGTATCTAAAAAATCATTGCCAACCCCAAAGTTATCGAGAATTTCTCCTTTTTTTCTTCTAGGAAGTTTGTAATTTTGCATTTTACATTTAGGACTGTGATTAATTTTTATTTTGTTTTTGTGAAAGTCTAAGGCCTGTGCCTAGATTCCATTTTTTTTTGATGTGGTGTTCAGTTACTCCATAACTATATGCCCTAAGTTGAAATGGCTATCACTTCTTCATTGTATTGTTTTTTCTCCTGTATCAACTACAATTAGTTTTATTTTTCAAAAACACTATCAAATACTATTAGTCCATGAGAAACTTCTTAGCATATAAAATCGTTTTTTTGAAAACAATTGTTTTCTAATTTTCTTCTCATTTTATTTTGCTTCCCCTATTATCCATTTTTCTTGTGAAAGGTATTCATTAAACCTATTTTTGCTGGCACCTATATGAAATTCAGAGAAATATGAATTATCTATATATTTCTTAGAATTTTGTGATCTATAATATATTGTATAAATTAATTATACATAATACTTGGTCCTTTCACAAAATTAGCTCATTTGACTTTGAATATAAACCCAAACTACATGTTTGTGTTTTCCTTTCAATTTAGAGATGTGGAAACTAAGGCATTGCACTTGGTTATGCAGATAGTAAGTGAGCAATAGTAAGTGTAGGCCTTCAGTTTTCAAACCTAAACCTTCCTAATATTATAAACCAAATCAATTTAGGAAAAATGCCATTTGATTAATAATATCAATAAATACTTTTGTGCACATTGAATAAAGTAATGATTCATATATGATATCAGTGCTTGGGTTAACCCTCCTTGCCCAGATCAATAAACTGAGACTATTTAATGTAGTAATAGGTGAGAAAATTGAAAAGGAAATTTCTAAAAAGCATAATATTTTCACGAATCATATGAGACTGTAGTGCTTTATTTTATGTGTATTCTATTATTACATTGAACTCTATGGTGATACAATCTGCAGTAGAGCTGAACAGTGGGAATATGTAATCAGGAATAAGTTGTTCCAATTCAACTAATTTTTTTTTTTAATTTTTTGTATGACAATACATTCAGAAACATTTGCATTACCAAGTGGATATTTAGCCTCAGTTTTATGATATTATTTCTATTCATCTATTCTATTTAAAATTATGTCTATAATTTTAAAATCGCATGCAATATTATGATTGTTTCAACAAGATCATTAAATAACATTTATTAGGTGCTTATTGTATGTCCAGCAATATTTATCAGTGCCTGTGTTTCAATTGCTAAGTATTTTACAGGCATTATGTTCTTAAACTTCATTACATCTCTCTCAAATATAGATTAATGTCAGTAATGTCAGAAAATATCAGAATTATAAGCAAGAAAATTTGTAACTCTAAACAGGCATTCAGCCTTCCTAAGATCTTCACACAGCTGGCAAGAGACATACAGTGGAATAAGCCTTTGTGACTTTGCAGATATACATTTTAATTATTTATCTATTGTTCATCTGAGTTACCCCTTGCTTTCTCAAATAATGTATTTTGTTTAGCACAATTGATGCTAAGTAGGCAACTATAATGGATTAAAATTCAAATAATGGCATATATTGAGTTGTCCATTTGTTAGATAATAACTTGGCATTTATTATATTCTCTCCATAGAATTAATGTAGTGGCAGATAGAAAAGTGAAATATGGATTGTCTTTGAGCAACATAGACAGTGGACGTAAAGTGGGCATAAAATATATATATTATAAATGACAACATTTGTAGTTATCAGTCACTTCATATTTTTATGGGTTGGTAGGAAGGTTTTTAAAGTACTATGGCCTCCTTTTTTTATATAGTCACATGGTCTTCAGCCACACATTTCAGAACTTTCCACATATTAACTCTTAAAAACCATCTAACTTTGGGTAAATCCGGTATTGACTTTATTCCTGTGCTCCAGTGACCATGTTGCAGCAGTAGTCACAGAAAGCAGTAATTAGCTCCAGCTCTAGAACGTGATTTCACGGACCGTGATTTAATTACCGTTGGAAACTGCTCTGCTTTGTGGTTTTATGTGATTCAATACCTGATTTAATGAGTGATTCATGCTGTCAACTGAAATGTTCTCATAGACAAGCTACTCTGGGAATCAAACATTTATCAAAATTTAATCTTGTATCTAACTAGTGTTAAGTGAAAGACAGGGTTTTGTGAAGTTCAATCCATCCAATAGGCAGAATGAAGAACACTGATAGCATGCTTTCTAAAATGAATACTAGCCTCCATAAGTGACCTTTCTAGAACACACACGATGCAATATGATATAGGAGAGAATATTTCCATTTTCAGACCTGCCAAATATGATAACATTAGTACGAATTTGAAATGTATATACATACATAACAAAAAGATAAAAAAACATACATTATGTGTATTAATTTCAGTTGTATGTGTCTCTGTGTTTTGTAATATTCTACACGGTACACGTTAGAACAAAGAAGGGAGAGTGATAAGTGGATGTTTGCAATTTAAAGTAGACTAAATAGGCCAGGTATGGTGGCTCAAGCCTGTAATCCCAGCACTTTGAGAGCCGAGACAGGTGGATCACTTCAACTCAGGAGTTTGAGAACAACCTGAGCAAGACGGCAAAATCCCATCTCTACAAAAAATACAAAAATTAATCAGGCTTTGTGGGTGCACCTATTGTCTCAGCTATTCTGGAGGCTGAGGTGGGAAGATCACTTGAGCTCAGGAGGTGGAGGTTAGAGCATGTTGTGATTTTGCTACTGCACTCTAGCCAGGGAAACAGAGAAAGACCCTGTCTCAAATAAAGTAAAATAAAATAAAAAATAAAATACAGAACAAAATATAATTAAAGATAATTATTGCTTAAAGAACAAAATTACACATGGATGCATTTGAATGAATATGTAATTTTTATTTTGTATCTAGCATCTTTTTAAATACCTTTCATAATTATTAAGACACTTGAATGAGTTAAAATATGAAATGTACAGAATGCAAACGATTAAAAAGAAGATGTAGTTAAGATAAATAAAATAAAAGGCCCAAGTTAATAAAACAAAACATTTAAAACCTGGTAATATGAGCCCTAAAATATAAAGAACAAGCATTAATTGATAATAAGCTTAAAATGTGTATATGTTAATAAATGAAAGATCATTTAAAGAATGGAATGCAAATAAAAATAAAATAGGTATAACAATAAGATGAGGAAAGATAAGTAGAATCTCGTGAATGCAACTTGAGTTCTTTTGGCTTGAATTTCTCCAGTAGGAGGATTGAAAAGGAGAAATATAAAGTAAAGCAGTCTAAGTTGGTAGGACAAGGTTTTAAGTCAATGGCTTATATCATGGAGAAAGGGGAGAGGAGAAGAAAGGGATTCTAGCGTTCAGAATAGGGGAAGAGGTTAGGAAGAAAAGGTTGGGCCTCAGTTCTGAGAACACTGCAACCATGCTTTCTGTATGCCAGTCTTCAAGCTTCCCACAGCAACTTGTAGAGTGTGCTGTCAGGGAACCAGGAAAGGAAATCAGGGCTCAAATTGCTTCTTGAGTAAAAACAAATTTCCGAGAAACATAAGAAAAATTATTCAACCTTATTAATAACTTGAAAAATGGAAATAAAATAATGACAAAATTCAAATTTATTCTCAACTAGTAGTATTACAGGAAGAAAAGCATCAGGGTGTTTTTGTTTGTTTCTTTTGGTTTTATTTTGTTTTGTTCTTAACAATTGCATGGAATACCAAAATACAGAAATCAAGGGAAAAAAATTACAACCACTAAAGGAAAGAAGTAGCTGAAAAGATTAAAGACCAAATGATAAATTAAAAGAAGGAATAATAAAAAGTTGTCTGAGATTTTGGTTGGACCCAGGAGTCTCTACAGTGTAGGCCCTTGTCTGACGATAGCACAGGGTAGCCGACAATATAAAATCTATTTATCTTTACTTCATTTCCTCAGACCTATTTGTTCATTCATTTAATAATATATTAATGGAAACTTACTAATCAATTGTGATTAAATATAGGGGATGCTATGCTGAACAATAATGATAAACAAATTATTGTATAAATGTAATTTCAAATAGTGATAAAAATGGCAAGGCGGGGTGGCTCATGCCTGTAATCCTAGCACTTTGGGAGGTTGAGGCGGGTGGACTGCCTGAGGTCAGGAGTTTGAGACCAGCCTGTGCAATACGGTGAAACTCTTGTTCCTATTAAAATACAAAAAATTAGCTGGGCATGGCAGCATGCACCTGTAATCCCAGCTACTCGGGAGGCTGAGGCAGGAGAATTGCTTGAATCTGGGAGGTGGAGGTTGCAGTGAGCCAAGATCACACCATTACACTCCAGCCTGGGCAAGACAGCAAGACTCCGTCTCAAAATATTAATAATAATAATAATAATAATAATAATAATAAAACAAAATAAAAATAAATCAAATAGTGATTAAAAACAATGAAGAAGCAAACAGAGTCTTATTGAGGTAGAGAGAGAGAAAATGGAAACTTAGATTTTGAAGTCAAGAATTTCTATGAGGAGCACCTACTTAAATTGCAAGTTAATGGTAACTCAATGAAAATTTTGAGAAGCAGATTTTCATTAAAATAGGATTTTAATAAAAGGTACAAAAACTTACAAGGTATTCTGAAGAATAAAAAGACTTGTTTGGCTGGACTATAATGATCATGATGGAGTATAATAAACTAGAGCGAGAGAGTATTTTGAGATGAAATCAGACAAATGGGAAAGGATTGATACCTATGAGACTTTAATATTAATTGGCTTTAATGTTTAATGGTGGTGTTGTTGTTCATTTATTTTTCTCTTTTCTGATTACAGTGGAAAGTTAATAGAGGGTCTTTAAGCAGGGGAATCACATCATGAGATTTAAATTGCTAAGTGAATGCTTTGACCCGTATGCGGAATTTAGATGGTAAGCCAACTAAAGTAGAAGCATTTAGGAGGGTTTTGCAAGGTGGTACATTGGGTTAGCGTTGTGACAATGGAGAAGGGAAGAAATGTAAAAGGGCGCTGATTAATATATTTGAGTATGAATGAAAGGTACATCTTCAAGTTATACTATTTTCCTTATCTTTAAGTTAGAAATGGTTTTCTTTAGATTGAACATTATCAAAACAAAACATATATTTGCCAGTCTATATTTTATTTCTGAGCCACCCTCCTTTCTTTCTTTCTTTTCTTTTTTATTTATTGATTTTTGAGACAGGGGCTCACTCCGTCACCCAGGTTGGAATGCAGTGGCACAATCTTGACTCACTGCAACTTCCACCTCCCAAGTTTGGGTTCAAGCAATTCTCCTGCCTCAGCCTCCTGGGTAGCTGGGACTACAGGCACTCGCCACTGCACCTGGCTAATTTTTGTACTTTTTGAAGGGATAAGGTTTCAACATGTTGTCCAGATTGGTCCCGAAATCCTGGACTCAAGGTATCCACCTGCCTCAGCCTCCCAAAGTGCTGCGATGACAGGTGTGAGCCACCTCACCCAACCTCACCCTGTTTTCACGCAAGAAGAGTATTATGTTGTTTCAAAATGTGCAGTAGGGGTAAGCAGATGGATATATACGAAGGCTAGTGTGGTTCTCCTTTCAGATAGCAAAAGGCACTCATGTAAGCTTGCTCAGTTGTCTAGTGACTAATATCATTCAGGGTTTGTTTCTTCTGCAGGTACTCATTTGTTGAGTATCTGAGTTACTACTTCTTACATGCATCTCCAATTAACGAGCTAATCAATCATTAAAAGACTTATTTTTCTAAATGTTGCTTGGATAACAGGCTAGCCATATGCAAAAGATTGAGACTGGATCCCTTTCGTACACCATATACAAAAATTAACAAGATGGATTAAAGACTGAAACGTAAAACCCAAACCTATAAAACTGCGGAAGACAACTTAAACAATACAATTCTGGACATAGGAATGGGCAAAGACTTCATGATGAAGACGTCAAAGCAATTGCAGAAAAAGCAAAAATTGACAAATGGGATGTAATTAAACTTAACAGCTTCTGCAAAGCAAAAGAATCTCTCAACAACATAAACAGACAACCTACAGAATGGGGAAAAGCTTTGCAAACTATGCATCCAGCAAAGGTGTAATATCAAGCATCTATAAGGAACTTAAACAAATTACAAGAAGAAAACAGATAACCCCTATTAAATATTGGGCAAATGATATGAACAGACACTTTTCAAAAGAAACCATATATGTGGCCAACAAGCATAGGGAAAATAAGCTCAACATCACTGATCACTAGAGAAATGCAAATCAAACCACAATGAGATGCCATCTAACACCAGTCAGAATGGCTATTACAAAGTCAAAAAATAACAAATGCTGCCAGAGAAAAAGAAATGCTTATACTGTTGGTGGGAGTGTAAATTAGTTCAACTGTTGCAGAAAATAGTGTGGAGATTCCTCAAAGACCTATAAAATAGAAAAGCTATTTGACCCAGTAATCCCATTTCTGGGTATATATCCAAAGAAATATAAATCATCCAGTCATAAAGAAACATGAAAATGTATTTTCATTGCAGCACTATTCACAATAGCAAAGACATGGAATCAAACTAAATGCCCATCAACAGTAGATTCAAAAAAGAAAATATGGTACATATACACTATGGAGTACTATGCAGCCATAAAAATGAATGAGATCATGTCCTTTTCAGGCACATGGATGGAGCTGAAAGCCATTATCTTTAGCAAACTCATGCAGGAACAGAAAACTAAATGCCACCTATTCTCACTTGTAAGTGAGAGCTAAATGATGAAAACACATAGACACACAGAGGGGAACAAAAGACACGGGGTCTATTGGAGGGTGGAGGGTGGAAGGTACATCAAAACAGTACATGAGTAGGATTTAAATAAACCTTCCAACAGAAGAAAAGGATCAGGGAAAATAACTAGTGAGTACTAGGCTTAATACCTGGTAATGAAATAATCTGTACAACAAACCCCCATAACACAAGCTTACCTATATAACAAACCTGCACATGTAGCTTTGACTTTAAAATGAAAGTTAAAAATAGACTTCTTATTCCCTTCACTGCTCATGGTTTTTAGTTTTCTTCGCTTTTCTCTAATGGCCATTAAGGGAATAAAATACATCTAGGTAAATTAAGAAACTAATGCCTTTTGAAGAGAAGCAATGATTATTTCACTTATTTGAAATTGTTGAACATCTTCATGATAATAGTTAACATGTTCTGAACACTAACAGTGTGCTGGACACTTTCCATGTGTTTTCTTAGTTAGCTGTCATCAACTCTGTGAGGTGCTTGTACCATTATGACCTGTACTTGCACATAAAGAAACTGAGGCTCAGAGTAACCAAGAATGTGTCAAATAATCAAAAAGCAAATAAGTCAGCCAGAATTCAAATTCAAACAATACAAAGCCAATGAGATCAAGTTTATTGCCTCACCATGTTAGATCCCAGCATTTATAGTATATTCAACGAAGTTTCTGTGAATATACATGCATGTGATTGCAGCATTTCTCTTCTCTTAATAAAGACACTTTTGTCCCTTATGTTAATGTTGAAGTCAAATATTTTCCACAAATACTTTGAACAAGAGAGTGATTTCTCCTGTCAGAGGGTTTATTTGAATCCTACTCATGTACCGTCTTGATGTAGCTCTGCTTCTGTCGGTGCTGGGTTAGCATGCTTTTATACAAGTGGAATTGGAAATGAAATGCTGTGAAATTGAGACTTGAACCCCTTCTAGACCTTCAGAGCACTACTTTGTGCTAAGATATCTATCATATGAACTTCTATAGTAGTTTCCAATTAGGCTGACAGTCAAATGTGAGGTCTTGAATAAAAAAATCATGTTGAAAGATTTTTTTAATCTTGTAGGTTATAGACTTTGGAAGGTTTGAAATTTGTCAGCCACATATAATAGGATTATGATGTCCTTTTGTGAATGCTATTTGAATGCTAGGTTCTTGTCATGTACGTTTAGAGATGAGGTTCCTTGTCTCTCACCAACGTGGTTGCTTACATTTAAACAATGTCAACATTTATAGACAGTCCTTCCCTGAAATGTTCAATTTCAGTCTTTGCTCCTGCATGTCAAATTTCATTCTATGTCAGCCTGAGTTTACTGTGATGCTCTTTCTATTAAGGTTTATGTATCCATAGTCACTTTTGATTTTGACGACAGATTTATTAAATTGCTATAATTAAATAGTCCAAATATCATTTGTGATGAGCCACTAAAGACTTGACCTTAGGATATTTTGTTAATGTACTTTCATATGCTTATAATTATTATTATTAATTATTTTGAGACAGGGTCTCACTCTGTGGCCCAGGCTGAAGTGCAGTGGCACGATCTCGGCTCACCACAACCTCCGCCTCCCGGGTTCCAGCGATCCTCCCACCTCAGCCTCCCTAGTGAGTAGCTGGGACTACAGGCACACACCACCATGCCTAGCTTTTTTTTTTTTTTTTTTTTTTTTTTTTGTATGAGACGGGGTTTTCGCCATGTTGCCAGGCTGGTCTTGAACTCCTGAGGTCAAGGTATATGCCTCCATCAGCCTCCCAAAGTGCTGGGATTACAGGCATAAGCCACCACACCCAGCCTCATATACTTTTAAAATCCTACTGATTCTTGGCCGGGTACGGTGGCTCACGCCTGTAATACCAGCACTTTGGGAGGCCGGTGGGCGGATCACGAGGTAAGGAGATCGCGACCATCCTGGCTAACACGGTGAAATCCCGTCTCTACTAAAACAATACAAAAAAATAAGCTGGGCGTGGTGGTAGGTGCCTGTAGTCCCAGCTACTCGGGAGGCTGAGGCAGGAGAATGGCTTGAACCCAAGAGGCAGAGCTTGCAGTGAGCGGAGATCCAACCACTGCACTCCAGCCTGAGCAACTGAGCGAGAGTCTGTCTCAAAAAAAAAAAAAAATCGTATCGATTATTTTGATAAAGTCACTGCCTATTTTTACTGTGACTTTGTGACATTTTTATTTTTTACAAATTCTTATCTTTTACAGTATCCTCACATTTATTTTTTCATTTGCTCCACCCTATCTATGGGTATATATACATCTCTGAAGCAGGCTGAGTGAGGCAATAGTCTATTTTCCCAAGGCCAGAAACATAATGAGAAACCAAATGAGCACTGGAGCCCAAGTATTCTGGCTGTGTGTTCATATGCTTAAATTTCTCTTATTACTAACAAATGATCACAATCAAGTGTGAGAAACAATTGAATACACTTCCAGGAAAATTCTGAGCTCTGTCACTATCTGACTTTGGGCAAATCATTTAACATTTTTATGACTATGCTCTTTGGCAGATGATGAGGGTTGTGGTCAGTGATTGTTACGGTTTCTGTATGCTATAAACATCTATGATTTTATTTCCAGTTAAAATGAAAGTCAGACAATAGTCTCAAACTTGAAATGAAAGGAGTAGAAACTGGTAAGAAGTGCTTAGGACAGGAGAGAAAAATAGGATAACTGGAATTCGGGAATAAGAAAGATTTACTTTTAATTTATACTTTTTTGTATCATTTTATACCTGGTACAAATAAATGGATTAAATTATTTAAACAATAAATATTTTAAAACAAACTAATAGAAATGAAGAATGGTATTGCTACTGTTTACTATATTAAAATACATTAATGCAGTCATAACAAAAGTTTCATGAATCTAATTATCTGACTTTAAATGCTTCTACATTAGAGACTATACCTATTTCTGTATGCTATAACATTTCCACTTGATATTACTTGCCTCATAATGCAGTTGAGCTGTAAGGAAGTTGGTTATTTCTTAAATAGTTCTGTTTGCATTTTTAATATATCATTATAATAATTGCATTATTTAATATATGAAAGGTGACCCTCAATCACAGTGCTGGGAATTGAGACTATACCAAAGAAAAAGGTGTAAATCCAGATGATTTCAAGCAAAGTAAGATGTATGATCACCATAAGTATATGGGATATTGTACACAATTAGCAGTAGTTACATGGCATGAAATTCTAGTGATGTAACCTTTCTTAAAGTGAAAATTATGAAGCAAAATTATGGAAAAGCACTTCATACTATTAGAAACATTACTGATAATCACTGCATTAAATGTTGACAGTACTACAAATATTAATTATTATCATGGTAAGTTGAAGAAATTTGCAGTATGAGAAGTTCTTGAATTTTCATCATGAATTTGCAATATGAAAAGTCCTTGCAAACTTGAATTAACTTTGGGTACTGTAGGATTTTCAGACTGCCTACGCAGGAACTGCCAGTTATTCCTTTTGGCAATATATAAAAGAGATAAGAAGGGATTTTAAGGAGAAAAATAAACCATGAAGTAGAGGATATATCCTCAATGTAGAGGATATGCCAATACAGCTTTGGAATAAATACAGGGAAATAAAGCTCATAGGACAGCGTTTTGCTTTCTTTTGATGCACTTTTAGCTAAATGTATCACAAAGAATGTTAATAATAATTACTGAACTGTATTGGACATTTTATATACAAGGTACTTTGTTATTATATTAAAACATCTCATAGGACACAAGCTCATAGGACAGTGTTTTGTTTTGTTTTGATGCACTTTTACCTAAATTTATCATAGAGAATGTTAATAGTGATTACTGAAATATATTGGACATTTAATGTACAAGGTACTTTGTTATTATATTAAAACATCTAATTAGATACAATTATTAGTGTCATTAAGGTTACTAACCCATAATGTATAATAAAGTTGGCCAAAATCTCATAGCTTGCAAGTGGCTAAACTGAGAATCAAACCCAGGACTTCTAACCCTGAAAGCTCAGGAAAAACTGTTATATTTTTTTCTATATGGGTTAAACAATACATCCATGCATTGGAGAATAATTGTTGATAAATATTTTCAAATGGACATAATGTTCCCCTTCAATTGTACCAAACTGAATAGACTACATAAAATCTATCTAAATATTTTGTTTCCCATACTTCCAGGTAAACATATTTGTAACTATGTTGGAAAATAGATCAACAATTGCAAAATATACATTCAAAAGGCCATTGAAATTTCCAATTAAAAATCAAAGGGAGTGATAGAGTTTTTAAAACTCTGTTTCAGTGCAAAATAGTCTTACCTGAATTTTGCAAAATTGCCAGGAATGTAAGCATGTCAGCAGATCTTCTGCTGGATGCAAAATAGTTATACAACTCATATTATTATTTAAGAAACAAGAATGTCATTAATATTTTCTTTATTCAATATTTTTAAGTAAGTTTAGGAAAATTTATTACAAATAGATTTTTAAATTATGAAAACACTGTTTTATAAGTTAACTAACCTGTACAGTCACCACGTCTGTTTGTTTTGGTCAATATGTTATTACCTATAGTATGACCTGCCACATAGCTGCTAATACTTAGTTATATGTTCAATAAATTAACATATGAAAGAATGAAAGAGTTCTCTATTCATGTTTTTCTCAGCCCTGCACTTTTCTCCGTGAGACTATTAAATTATAAGAGGAGTTACCATAATCCTTATTTTTTTTTCATGAATGCAGCCCCCATAATCATGAAAAACTAAGATGTTCCTTTTTTTTCTGAAAAAGAGATGTAGCTCAACAGTCAGTTTCCTCACTGCATTTCCGAGAAGGAAATATTTGAGCTTTCATGTTGTCTGAAGATACAGTCTGTATGACTGAAGTGTTCGTTGCATGCTGTGTTCAAGAAAGTGACATACACAAATAGGCCCAATAACCTAATGCCCCTATTGCGTATAAAAGCCATTATTTTCAGTGCTATATTAGAACTTATTTTGCAATTCACAAGCTGAACAACAGCTTGGGTCCTTTGAAGATATAAACAACATCAAAAATTTAAGACTTTGTGACCACAAGACTAAGAGTTTCATTTGAAAATTTATTCTGATCATTTGTACTCACCCTGGAAAGTCACTCTAAGAATGAGGAAATTTGAGTGGATGAGTGCAGCAATGGTCTCTCTGTCTTAGGCTGTTTTTCAGCAATTAGAGCAGCATGACTTAGCATGTAGCAGGTGTTCACAGTTATTTGTTAAATAAGCTATTGAATAACAAGACAGACTCACAATGAATGAAAATAGCACAAAAGCATGAAAACTTCTATTTATAACCTCTAAGATCTTGCTTTTTACCTTACACATAAAAGGAATATTTCTGTGCTGAAATGAATAAAAATTAAGCTGTGCCAAAAACTGAAATAATACAAATGCTGAAAGGTAAAATAAATATCATTTCTAGGTTTAGAGGCAGTTACATTGAAATAAAAATATATTAATAAAAACAAATGATAAATATCCACTGATTTAAAATTAAAACTCTTTGTAAAAATGGCTTAGAATATGTGTTTTAAATCTATAAAATTAGGAAAAGTACAGATTTGGGTTAAAAATGGCCATGCCACACCACTTGACTGAGAGTTCACAAGATGCAATTAAGATATGTTATTTTTCTCAGTTATGATATTGTGTAACTTTTTAAAAACAATTAATGCTATGAGAGGCATAACATTTTCTATAAAGTGTTATTTGGTTTATTAATTATTTTATCTATCAACCATATCTATTTTTTTGTGCTGTTCTTTCTTATTTACTGGCCTTGGATAGTTTTTTCTATTGAACAAAACTCAGGTTGAAAGTTTAATGCATTGGACCATATGTTTAGTCCTTTATCTTATAGCTTTCAGCGACTCTCCTTTAGAAAATGTTGTTTTTTCTTAAAGTATTTACTGGACTTATATAATTATTTCTATTGAACAGAAGTCAGGTTGAAAGTTTAAAGCATTGGACCATATGTTTATGCCTTTATCTTATAGTTTTCAGTAACTCTCTTTTAGAAAAGTGACTTTTTTCATGATTCTCCTCCTTTTTTCTTAAACATATAAGAAGTATCAGAGCATTCAAAGTGCCAGTATTGATGAGCACCTGTTGCTTTATGGTATCTTTCTTCGGCTAATGTGTAAAATACGCTTATTTAAATAGTAACCCTGCATAGTACTGATAAGCCATTGCTTGTAAGATGAAGGTTTGGCTATTGATTGCCACTTTTCAACTTAGTAACACAATCAACACACTTACTTACTGATTAAAATGTGTCCACATTTTTATTTCCAATATTCAAAGAAAATAAATTTCCTGCTAGATTTCTCTGATAACTGAAATTATGATGAAGCCTCAATATGGAACTTCAGATTCTAAAACTGAAAAAAAGTAGGTTCAGAAGACATTCCATTAAAAAATGAGAAGGAAAACATTTATTTTTTTGGAAAGTAGGGGAATTGTATGCTAAAAATGTGACCTACAATCAACTTCCCCAACTCATTCTCCATTCTCCATAAATACTTTCCTACTCAAACCTCTTAAAGTACCCTTGCATCTCTCCAAACCTTAGTGCTTGTCACTTCCCCCTCTTTATTCCTACTTTTTCCTGACTACACTTTATTTGTTGCTTATTTTTCCTCTTTCCAGTTAGCTATGAGTTCTTCAAAAGTAGAAGTTACTTTTATAAGAAAATATCTCAAATGCAGAGGATAATATATAAGTTTAAGATGCAATCTGATCTGGTTAATTCAGAATGAGATTGAAGTCTTTACATTTAAGCAACAGTTACAAAGTTTTTACATAATTTTATTAGTAATAATCAATGTAATGGATATGTTTTGTTCTACTTATAATACTTTAAAAAGAGAATTTTAATTACCATTAGCAACCAATTGTTTTTGTATTTATGTCTGTTTCTCTTACTATATATGAGTGAATCTTTGCTATGTACCAAGAATTAAATAGTATTAAGTATTTCAACCATACTAATAATGGACTAGCTTATTCAAGTTTAAATACAATAGAACTTGACACTTTTGATGAATATTTATCAGATAACATTTTGTTCCTTCATGTAATTTTCTAAACAATTTCAATTAATCTTAGATATTCAACTGAAGCATGAGACTGTCTAGAATGTAATCGAGATTAAAAAAATGCTGCAAGCTGTCATGTTTTTACTAACAAGAACAACATTGAATATAGATGAATATGTAATTTTAAAAGAGTCATTTCTTTTTGCTTTCAAACTCATTACTTTAAATTAATAATGTATTGAGATGTGATCTATATTACTCTAGTCATATAAGAGTCTGGGAAATCAGTGATATGATTTTTTAGGAAGGTGATGAGGCCATGTGATAAAACTGTGTGAAAGAGATGCCATAATTTATGCACTGCTTCCTCACATTATCTTCACTTCTATAACTTTTTCAATTAAATTTCAACAAAAATGTCAAATCCAAAGTGGTTTCAAATTCCTCATCTGCCTTTTGTCAAGTGATTCAGTTTATGTGCTGTGGGAGCTACTTATTATGAAATGTTGCTGAGCTTGCAACTCCAATGCAGTCAGCAGTCTGGAAATTTTCTCAGATCTGTATCATTTAATGTAAATTATTCTCTGCCTTTTCATAACCTTATTTTTAATTATGTGCTTGCCAAAATTAGGGTTGAGTCCCTCCTTTAGATCAGGCCCAATGTCAGTTTCTACAAAATGTATAATGAAGTTGAAATTTTCATTACCCAAAGCCTTACAGGCCAGTTAAAAGAGATTTTTATTACCTTTTTAATCTATATTTAAAACAATAGTACACACCATTCAGATATCACCACATGGGATTTGTGAAATATCTGTGAGATTTCTTTCGTTTTTCATATGCCTGAGGAGCTTCGAAGCTCCTCTTTTGGGCTGCTAGATACAATTTTCCTCACAAGCAGGTATTTCCTTCCAAGAAGGCCAGACTGTATTTTGCAAGCCTTCTTAAGGCAGAAGTGAAAACGACGATTTGTAATTGAGCACAGTAAAAATCTGTTTTGCTTAATTTGAGGCAGCTACAATGAGCAAATCCCTCTGTATGCTTAGTACATAGTACATAGAGAGGGAGTAAACAGAGGCTGGCAGAATTTGTCAACAAGAATTTCACTAAAGTTAATATATACCATTTAATGCAATAAAACTTGCATGTCTGGGAAAGTTTCACACATGTTTTGATGAGTCCTACTGGAGAACAATTATTTTACAGCTATACTGTATATTTCTACCTTTTTTTTCCAAGTGAAAAGTCGGGGAAAAAGGACATTAATTTTGTGGTGAGAGTCATGGTGCTTCAGGATGATAGCGGAAAATTATCTCCAGTATCTCTGAATTTTTCTCCATCACCAATTGACATTACTGGCATTACTTTTTTGTGAAAATGCTCTATCATGAGCTGTTCTTTATAAGAACATGCATTAATTTTATCTTTCATTTGTATGTGCCACATTGGCAGAATTTTGTTCTCTTAAAGAATTAAAGAAGTAGATAGTATTGGTCAAACTATATTGGCCAACTTTAACCCAAATGGCAAAACAGTTATCTTTAGTAAATTCAAAAAACAATTTGAACATGTGAACAAGAATAACATATGAAACATTTGAAGTAAATAAAAAGGTATGTCATGATTGTGTACCCACAAAGATCTTGTGAAACAGATTGACTTCTGAATAAAGACTTCTCCTCCCTATATTTTTCACGCTTTATTATAGTACTTAGGATGTGAATAAGTTATTTGATTTTCAATTATAGATTATTTTAACACTGACATCAAGGAAGTGTAAATTTTTCCACAACATCTGACACAGACCTAAGAAACTGTTTATTGGATAAAATGAATAAAGAACAAAATCAATGGTAAAACGTATATTGAGTCATCTACGTTCTATAAGACATGAGGCTTGGGTACAAAGGAAATGTAAAGATCAGTATGACATGAACACTTTGAAATACAGTCAAAATGGAGAAGGGATAAAATTAAATATACAAGTAATAATTTTATCAGAGAGTTTAGTAAGACAATATTTGGTGTTTTTAGAGCAGCATGGTATTGCATCTAATAGAGAAATGCCAGAAGAGATTTTGTAAAAATGTATCACTTGAGATGTGTTTACAGAATGAGTATGGTTTGCAGGCTTAGATACGGGTCAGGTAAGCCCAGTGATGAAACATATAATATTTTGTGAACTTCTTCAGCAATATTCAACAGCTAGACACTGATAAGGTTGGGGAAGGAATGGGTATCTAATGTTATCACTGGAGGATGAGTCCATTGAGGGTGGGGATTGTGATTTGCTCATTCCCTATGTTTCTAGCACATTGAATAACACCTAACACATGGCAAGCCTTCAATAAGCATTTGTTTAGTGATAAAATAAAATGTTGGAGAACTTATACTAGGAATTTTTTAATGGGAATTGGAAGGATCTAGTGTAGACTTATGTATATAAAAACAGTGAGCAATAAACATATAGTACATAATTAAGTTCTAAATTGTATAAGGTAATTATAGTTTATTTGACTGCAGATCTCATGGGAACCGAACCTTTTACATTGGCTTTGAGTCTAGAGAATGTAGAGGTATGTCAATACCTCTGATTTCCTATGAATTGACATAATATGTTAAATTAATATGGAGGTAGTAGGTTTTTTAGGGAAATTGCTAGGCTAAAATGAACTAACTGATTTTGTGAAATACTGAAAATAAGTGGAGTCACAGTGTTGAAAACCTTGAAAGTTATCATATGCGTTAGGTTTTCTAATACTAGGAGGTTATTGCCAATTGTTCAAAGAAGAGAAACAAATTGAAAGTTATGTTTACTTTTGTGACATAACTGCATACACAGAATAGATTTGTAAACTTAAAAACTGGTTAGGTGAAAACTAAAGACATCTGAAAGACTATGGTGCAGTATTTCTAGTAACTCTGCAACGGTGGTAGTATTACCATAGTTGTTCTTGTTTATGAGGAGATTGTCACCTGCATCGGGACATTATCACCTTGTTGAGACATCAAAAATGTCCTTTCATATCTCCATCACTATACAGGTGTTGAAGTTCCAAGATGTCTGATCAGAGGGACTTTTAAATATCTTAGCTGATGGATAGTGGCTGTCCACAAGCAATTTGTTATTGGAGGATCTATATTCTGGATCTCTTTTATTATTTCTGGTCTTTATATCAAATGCTTTTTACCGTTCAATCTTTGATGTATCTTGTCTGTAGTTTTTAACCCATTCAAATACCCTCTCATATCCCTCTTCTTTTCTGCTCCCCTTCACATTGCCAGAGCAACTGGCTATGTAAGCAAGTATCCAGATAGTCTTTACCTGCACTCACGTAAGAGGTTTCTATGAGTGTTTTTTTCTTCTTTTAATCTTTTATTTATTTATTTATTTTATTTATTTATTTATTTATTTATTTTCTATTTAGACAGGATCTCACTTTGTCACCTAGGCTTGAGTGCACTGGCACAATCATGGCTAACTGTAGCATTGAGCTCCCAGGCTCAAGTGAACCTCCCGCCTCAGTCTCCCGAGTAGCTGGGACTACAGACATGCACCACTGTGACAAGTTATTTTTTTTTATTTTTTATAGAGACGGGATCTCACTGTGTTGCCCAGGCTGGTCTCCCACTTCTGGGCTCAAGTAATCCTCCTGCCTGGGTCCTCCAAAGTTCTGAGATTACAGGTGTCACTGTGCCCAGCCTTTTGTTTTATTTTGTTTTTCCTGTTTTTTTATGTAGACAGAGGATACTCTTAAGAGAATCAATGAGAGAACAGAGAAATTAGTCAGGTGAGTGCATCCAGATATAATCCTGCATCTCACCTATAAAAAAAGGACAGATGATTCCAAGACAAAAATCTTGTGGAAATTTGAAAATAAGGTTATAGTAAAGAAACAGTAGGAATTGAGAGGAGGGTTATGGAAATTTATTGGCTTCCATGCAATATTCCACGTAGAAAAAAAATCTACTTCCCTCTCACCAAAAAAATAAGTTCTAAAAACAAACAAACAAAAAGAAAACAAAGGTTCTAAAAACATTCCTTAGGAGCAACACATATGGTATTTTAGATTACCAGCAAAGAGGTAATGAACAAAGTCATGAAAATGAATGAGTTCTCAAACCAGAATATAGACAAGACAAACAGAATGTCAAGGGCTGACATGCAACACATACACACACACACAAGTAAAATTATTTTTAGCTTACACATATAGACCAACCACACATTTAATTTTCATGTAAATTAAATATGGCTTCCAGGAGTCTTAAAAGATCAAAATGTATTAAATAAATTTATATTGAAAGACTGGAAGGTAGATCATAGCATGGGTTTGTACAATTATGTCAAAAAATAGGCGGCCTCTTCTCTGTCACTGCTTTGATCCAGCACTACATTTTCTTATCCAGTTAGTGCCTGTGCATAAATTCACTGATAGACATGACTTTGAGTGACTTTTAATTTAAAAAATATATATATCCCTTTGACTTGTTTGGGTCAAAACAACAACCATTAACACTAATGTATTTTGAATTATTTTATGACAGAGTGGAATAATTTGACAAGACTAAAAACATGCCTCAATACATAAATAATGTCTCTTGCTTTTACTCCAAATTTATGAATACATTTATTGCAGCAAAATATGTATCACTAAATCTTTCTTTTACATAATATCGTGTTACTGCAATGATCTCACTATATGCTGTATACTTCATCTCCTCTCCAATACCACTTCATTATCAATTTTTCTTAAGCACCATTTTTAGTTGTCATATCCTGCCAAAATATTTTATGTAATAGTTTCTATTTCATGATGTCAGAATTCTGTTTTCAAGGCCCTCTCCAAGTAGTCTACTCCTTATATTTGCAATATAATTTGTTGAGCTCCTGTTGTCACCACCCTACAAGGTCAGCATGCCTATTCTTCCTTCAGAGGGTTATAAACATGGTTTCCTTCACTCTGAATTTCCTAGAGTCTCATCTTCATGTCTAAGAATCTTACCATTTGTTAAGACCTAGCTAAAATCTTAAATACTCAAGAAAGGCTTGCTCACCACACTGGCTGTGCTAACTCTTCCCGCCTTGTATCTGAATAAGCCTTATGGTAGAGTGAAGACCAAATGAAATCATGAATAGTAATACACTGTGTAATATTATTTTGGGTATGCTAGTAAAAAATGTTCAGTTAAATGAGACAGTCTCATATAAGAATGATGATTTATGTATTTGTATTCTATTTAGGGCCCAAGCAATGAGTGCTCACTATCTGCTCAGTTTCTATGCAGAACTTGTTTATAAGTTAAAAAAAGAAAAATGATAAAATCTGGTTTTCTAAAAAAGTTTATTTCTAAATCCCAATTCAAGCAAAATTATATTGGGGCACCACAAAATTAATCCCAATGTATTTATATTCTTGAATAAGAAGATGGCAAGTTATTAGACAAAATAGTTTTATTTAACCAAGACACCAGGATCAAATGAACAGTAACCAATATTCCCCCTTGCTGTCCTATTTAGAATAGATTTGCCTGCTGCCATTCTTAAACATTTATAATTCAGGAACACTCCAAGAAAAAAAAATGCAGGACATTTCACAAGATTGCAATGTGATTGCTTTCAGAAAATATCAGGAGATTTCTATTTTTCCTGTTGATTTTGGAAGTAGGGTATTAAACACTTAACCAATGCAATTTCAGTTGTATTTGGAGTAAGAACCCTTCAGATTAATGATGATTCCCTATATGATTCATACATTAGTTCTAGCTCCAAAACTAGATGGAAATTTCCTTAAAGGATGTAGATGCATTGTTTTTGTCACTACAACTTTTCTCACTGCTCTTGATAAGTAATTTAGCTAGATTTTCATTATATATTGAAAGTGACTACTTGCATTTTTGCCTTTCTGTTTTGGTTAAGATGGTGAGAATACATGTTTTACTTTAAATAGCTGATATGTAAAATAGAAATGCCTTTAGTCATATTGGCTGCTATAGGATGATAGACATGGGGTTAGGGTTAAACAGTAAAGTAAAATATTCTTAAATATATTACACATTTTTCATATACAAGATAAATAATATTTAAATGTAGGTTTAATAGTATGAGAAAATATTTATCTTGTAATAATTGGATTGCTAATAAATATAATCAAGGAATCTACTGCCATTTGTTCTTTATGTGTTAGTTTGAATTTCTTATTTCAAATTATTTATATAAAGAACATGGTTATTACTTCACAATGTTTATCTCATCTCTCTCTGCAGATACAAATAAAGTAGAAAGGGAAATGAGAAAAAAGTCATAAAATAGAACTAGATAGAGAAATTAATTTACTTTAGTGTTATAGAACATGAAAAATAAAACTATTATATATTGATATTTAGAAACATTTTCTTTACCTCAAGATATTATTTTCTAAATGAGTTCTTAAAATAATAACATTGTTTTTAAAGATTGTGTGTATGTGTGCATGTGAGTGTCCATGCATATGTTTAAATCACAGTTTTCGAATATGTACAGTATGGTCAGTCTTCCCTATGGAAAAAGAGGACAAGAAAATATAGAATGCTAATTCCTTTTAACATTCTTTCTTGCCTCCTGTGTTTTTGTTGTTGTTGTTGTTGTTGTTGTTGTTGTAGTTGTTTTGGTTTTTTTTTGATTCATGTTATCTAGCTGCCTCTCAAGTCACTCACTGCATTGGGAAATCTCACTGCCCCTTAGACATGTAAATGTAAAACAAGGAAGAACAGTCTGGGCCTGTAGTTCATAGTCAACCCCATTAGAACAACCAGGAGAGTGCCCACCATTCTTTCAAGCCTGTGTCAGCCTGTCTGTTTTCTTTCTGGACACAGCTTGAGTGTGTAAAATGTCCTTCAGTTACATGTGAAATTCCTATTGCTGCCATTGACAAATTATCGCCTACTTATTGGCTTTTAAGAGCACAACCACAAGAGCACATGATTTTACAGTTCTAGTTCTGTAAATTAGACAGTAAGGGTCTCAGAACATTATTTCTATTATTATTGCCATGAGATCTTATTAGGAGTATTTAATATATTTTTATAATTTAATATATTTTTTCTTGGTTATGTTAAATTTGGGTAATTCTGTTTACAGCCATTTGTTCTAAAATGCTATGGATGAATGTTCCATTACTCCTTTTCCACCATATGGGATACCTATGGTTTGATGGTGGGTTTTTTTGTTTGTTTGTTTTGTCACTTTTGTGTAGACTTGACACTTATTGGGTTATGAACAGAGTCCTGTGCTTTTTGTCTGGTCATTTAGTTCAAAGTCACTTCATTCTAACTAAGGAATTGGCGTAATTTACTAAATCATTTATAAACGCTGTAACATATCACTCATCAAAACTTGCTTTGGATTGTATGATTTCTCTTTTTCACTAGTTTCTCCACACTTGCCACTTTTACATTCTCCTCCATCTCCCTCAAGTTTTCTCAATAAGAAAAAGAAAATCTGCTTGGTGTGTCTTTATTAAAATTTCTCTTTCAATTTGGGAGTATTCATGAGTTTCTCAGAATTTGTCTTAATCATAGCTTCTGAGAAGCAGGCAAAGCATTAGGAATTATGTTAAAATTATCAGCATCTCTGTTCCTTTTTATATGCATAACTACTGGAAAAGGAAGATTCTTAGAATTCTCACCACTCTCCTTTTTATATGCCTAACTACTGGAAGAGGAATATTCTTAGAATTTGCATCATTCTTCAAATTTTCCTGAAAATCAGTAGCCCTTATTGATTCATTTTAAGATTCATTTTTTTCTCATTTCTTTAAACTCTTCATTGCTGATATCTGCTCATGTCTTTTTTTGTTTTAGTCTCTTCTTCATGAACACAATTAAAATAAGCTCTTTCTGATTCTGCCTTCAGTATCTCACATCTTAATTTTTTACCTTTCTCTCTTTTTTTTCTGTATTCTGGGAGAGATTTACATGTTTTTTCCAATCTAATTTCTAATTTAGTTTTCTGTAATGAGGTTTGGATCGGAACCTGGGAAGGTATGGAGAGAGGGAATATGCTGGTGTGGATGGTAAAGAAGAGATGTTGAGATATGGGATAATTAATGAGAAAATTTTTAAAAGATAACCACATTTACAATTTAGAACCGCACCTGTAAGAAATGAAGAAAATAGAAATAATAACAATAAAGACGACTATATAGTGGTTAAGGTGGACAAAGCGGAATAAACTATTCTTTTTTTACTCTTTTATTCCCATTCCTGATTTAAGGTCAGAGAATTTTTACACTGTGGAATTCTCTTGTTTAGGTCAATATGGTTTCCAACAGGTAAGATTTCAGTAATTCCTGCTTCCAGCCTTGAAATATGATGATCATAGTGAATCCCTTCCAACACTGCTACTTTGAAAAGTTTCAGGTTTCACCACCCAAATTGGATGGACATGCCACTCAACAGTGGTGATCATTACTACTATAGAGTCCCCGTCCCACAACTGCCCATCAGAACAGAAGATCTTGATAACTCAAATGGTTATTAAGGGTTTGCCCACTTTCTCAGAAGCTTTAATTAAGGTAAATCCTGATATAACCAGACTCGTATAAAAGAGTTAAATTCTGCTTTTTGAATGTTTTCCAGTTTTGCCTCACTTTAAGTGTGGCCCACAACCATTGGTTAGCATAAGAAAACAAGTTAGCAATTTTTGATTATCCTTGACCAGTACAAAGTATTCTCTGATCCATATAGGTTTAAAATATTGCATTTTAAATCAAAATAGGAACTAAGATTTTACTTCTATTTGCAAGATTGTGTACTTTAAATATCTATTATGAATTATTTTACAATTTATAGAAAAACTTACTCTTGGAGAAAATAAAAGTTTTCTTATTTTGAAATTATTAATCAAATTCCAAAGAAGACTATACTCACATGCAAACACATAAGCATAAATGTTTAGTTATTTTTTTGCTCTTTTGAATATGTATATAGATAAATATGGTACATATATGTGTTGTGTGTGTATAAACAGGTAGCTCAGTGGCCATTGACAGCCATATAATAAATTCAGAATAAATCATAAGTAATTTGAAATCCAGAGGAGTGATTAATATATTTTATCTAGATCATTTCTGTGTTGTTGTGTAGCCACATTATACTTAATTTAAAATTTACTTGTGGGCTTTGCTTATTAAATTAATTTAAGCAGAATAAATAATATGGGTACAAACTTCTGAAAGTCATATGCGCTAGGTATCACAGAATATCAACATGATAATATATTTCATTCCAAGATAACACTATGATAAGAATAAAGATATTACATTTAAGATGACAGATAATTACCTTAATGCTAAAACTATTAGATATTGAACGAAAATAGTGTAACTGTAAGACAAATCATTAGGACAAACAGTATACTTCTTAAGAGTCACAAATAAAAGGTAACATTGCCATGAGTCCGCAGATATTTTACAATCTTCAGAAACAGAACTTTCTTTCTAAGCTAATACTTCAGCTAGTTGTCCTTAATTTCAGATCCATGATGTCAAATAGCTATATGTAAAGACATTTTACTATGGTTTTCATATACATTTATGATTTCTTAAAAATTAAGATGTCATTGGCCGGGTGCGGTGGCTCACGCCTGTAATCTCAACACTTTGGGAGTCCGAGATGGGCGCATCACGAGGTCAGCAGTTCGAGACCAGCCTGGCCAACATGGTGAAACCCTGTCTCTCCTAAAACTACAAAAATTACCCAGGCATGGTAGCCGGCGCCTGTAATCCCAGCTACTTGGGAGGCTGAGGCAGGAGAATCACTTGAACCTGGGAGGCAGAGGTTGCAGTGAGCCGAGATCACGCCACTGCACTCCAGCCTGGGCAACAGAGCGAGACTCCGTCTCAAAATAAAAAAAAAAAATTAAGATGTCATTAACAATTGACCCACATATTTAAAACTGAAAAGATCAGATCCTTTATGATATTTTTCTTCTTTCTATTGGGAGGGGATAATTAGTTTTGATTAGCTTGAATTTTACCTTCCAACTCTTTGGAAAATAACATTATGTCTTCTGATTCTGTGATGGGAAAAATGTCTAACTATTTATCTTCAGGGGTGACAGGTTAATTTTCAATTTTCCATGTTTTTATAATCAGAAGTCTGATCTGAAAGACAAAAAATTATGTTAGGTGAATATTTAATTTTTTGAAAGCAAAACAAAACCAGCTTGCTGTAACTAGTTCCTAGGTATGCTAACACAGATAAAGTGCCTTTTAATTTCTCTCATACAAGGTGAATTTTATACAATCCATCTAAAATAATAGATGGATATTTCATCTAAATTCATTAACAATATGCTTGTTTTTTAAGTTTATTGTTTATAGTTTAGATAAATATACGATATGTTTTTGAGAAACACATAGAAAGCTAGAGTTACACATTGGTTAACAGATCTTCTGAGGACAAATATTCTTTGTCAAATATTCTTTGACTTTGCTGAATGCAGCAAAAGTCAAGGAAATTGCAGTTGCTTTCAGAGTACAGAACTTGAGAAGGAGTGGCTGAGGAGGGATATACTGCCACAAATCTTCCACAGGCTGGTGCGAGCTGAAATGTGAGCGGGACCATAAACTCAGAGCTCATATTTTCTGGTACCTGGAAGTGGATCAAATTTCTATACTACAGAGTAGGGAACCAGAATCTGTCTAAGCTAAGACTCTTAACATACCGGAGCTTGTCTTATCTGGGGAAATTGTACATTCTAAAATAAACCAGTATGGCTTTAGTGCGATTTGTGCATAATAAGTGTAATAGTTATTTCAGTGTGTTTTGTGCTGCTATAACCGAACACTACAGTCTAGGTAATTTGTAATTAACAGAAATTTATTGATTCATGTTTTTGGAGGCTGGGAAGTCCAAGAATAAGAGGTCAGCATCTAGCAAAAGCCTTCTTGCTTCATCATCTCATGGCGGAAAGGAAAAGAAATGGTGATATACAGCAAGAGACTGAACTCATTGTCTCAAGTCCTTTCATAATGGGCATTAATCCATTAATCCACTGATGAGAGTGGAGCCCTCTGACCTAAAGACCTCCCATTAGTCTCTACCTCTCAATACTGTTCCTTGGGGGATTAAGTTTCTAACACATGCCTTTGGGGGGACACATTCAAACCGTAGCAAGGTGTACAATTAACTAATTGTTAAGAGAATAAATGTGATGAATAATTTTATTCCTTCTCGTTCTTAATATATCTATTCAATCATAGGTCATGACCAAAGTATTATAAAAAAAATTGGACATTCACACTCTGGCTACCCCCTATGGCCATCAGTGGAGCATTTTTCTCTTCTATTTTGTTTACATTATCACACATATTCATATAATTTATGAAAAACTTTGTGATGTCCTTCCGTTCAGCCAAAATTTAAGTAATGTCTTTGGCTGTTTGCATAATTATCCATACCTCATTTACTGAATAAGCATTTATTGAGCATCCTCCTTTTCTAAGTATCTATAATATTTTTAAAAATGCAAAATTAAATGCAATGTTGCTCTTGCTTTTGCCCCAAGAAAGTCCCAGAGTACCATGAATAGTTAACTTTATTACGCTGTGATGCATGGTATAGTAGGATTATGAACATATTGGAGGGAACAACAAATTTATTTGGGTCTCAAGGGAAGTCTTTACAGAGAGGATAATATGAACTGGGCCTTAAGTTAGTAAAAATTCACAAGTAAGAAAAAGGGAAAAAGGAACAAAATGGTCTTCCAGAAAATGAATCAGTGTAAGGAAAGACAAGATAGGCTATGCCCAGGAAGTTTTTATTTGGGACAGGGTAATGGGTTGTATGAATTATCCTTCAAGCAGAGAATGCAATGCTAATTGCATACAAAAATAATGCTATAAGAATATAATTTATTTTTTAATTATCCACTCAACATGCTAATGTTTACTCTTCATTTTGAAATTAAGTTTAAATGAAGATCAGAGTTCTTTTTAAAAGATTTAGATTACATACCTTGATCATTATATTAAGATTCCCTATGTTGGAGTTAATTTGTAATTTGAAATAGTATCTATCTATTTCATGTAAAGATACATAAAAACATTTCTTTTCTGAAGACACTGGCCACTGCTTAAAGGAAAGCAGCTGTATCCTCCCAGATCATGCCTCCAGAGAAACTGGCTATTATTATCAGCCTCTTCTTTCCTATTCCTCATTACAATATCTTTTCCATTATTTTGAGCTTAATTTGGAATCTAAATGTTAGATATTTATATGAAGTAGTAAATTTAACTAACATGTATAAAATGCATTAATAAATATAAATACAATAATTGCAATATAAGATTTCACCAAAAAGGGTGTTTATCAAAATGATGACATATCACAGGTTTTTATAAAACATAATTGTATTTTTTAGAATGTCTGTTTACTGTGTTTCATTCTAGAAATTAAATGTAAATGACATATTTTATTTATTCTTATTAGTTTTTAGAGTCTAGATTCTCTTTAATTTCTAAATAGTGCCAACAGGAATTGATCTATTCATGTTTTGTATCTCCAGTGCCTACTTTGAGTTTGTGCCTAAAGTGAAATAATTGTGTCCTTCTACTGGTTGGCGTATAGTAGGCAGTCAATAAATGCATGCTTAATAAATGGTAACTTACAAAGAAAACAAAAAAATATGCCAAAGTAATCTAAGATTTATATATTTGTCTCAAGTTCTTGAGTCTGCTCTAGAATATCTGCAATTGATCATTTTAACATTGTCAGTGACGGGGCACATTACCTCCTTCCCTATTTCCTGAAATAACATTCAACTCTCACTGTTAGGAATGCTTTGTCATTCAGGAAAAATAAATCACACAGGAAAAAGTATTATTTTTATGCATTATAACCCTTCACTTGTTGGGTCAGTAGGTAATCTCTTGCTTCCTAAAGAAAAAATAGTTTAAGAAAATACAGTGTATTTATCACTCTGAACTCTATTTTTCTGAGTCCTTTTGGGCTGCAATAATGAAATACCACACTGGGTAATTTATAAAAGCAAAACAAAGATTTTTTTTTTTTTTCTCAGAGTTCTAAAGGTTGGGAAGTCCAAGATCAAGGAACTGACAGGTTTGTTTGTCTGGTAAGGCCACATCCACTAGGAGGAGGAATGCTGTACCCTCACATGATAGAAGGTGAAGGGACAAAAGGGGCAAACTCCCTCCATCAAGCCCTTTAATAAAGACATCTAATCCCATTCAGAAGGGAAGAGCCCTTATGGCCTAATCCCTTTTTAAAGGCCTTACCCCTTAATACTATCACATTGGCAACGCCTGAATTTCGGAGAGGACACATTCAAACCATAGCATTATATCCCTAGCTCCCTCACATTCATGATTTTCTCACATTAAAAAAAATTCATTTATTCCATCTTAATAGCTCCAAAAACTCTTTACTTGTTTCAGAATCAACTTTAAAGTCTAAGTCCAAAGTCTCATCTAAACATCATATAAGTGAAACTCAAGAGTGTTTCATCCTGGGGTAAATTGTTCTCCAGCTCTGAACCTGTGAAAGCAAACAAGTTACATGTTTTCAAAATGTAATGGTAAGACAGACACAAGACAGTCGTTTATATTCCAAAGGGGAGAAGTAGGCAAGAAGAAAGGGGTAATAGGTCCCAAGTGAGTCCAAAACACAGTGAGGCAAACCACATGTGAACAATCTTTGACTCCATGGCCCACTTCCTGGACACACTGGGGTAAGGTTGGGCCCCAAATGCCCCAGAGGACCCTATTAGCATGGCTTTGCTGGGTACAGCTCCCTTCAGCTCTCATGGGTTGGAGTTCAGTGCCTGTGGCTCTCCCAGGCTTTGGCCTCTCGAGCGGCCCTGCTGCCACAACTCCATCAATCATTGCCCTAGTGGGTGCTATCTGTGATGTAGCTGTCCCCCTGCCCCCTCCTGCACTATGCCTCTCCCTTTGAGGACTCTCTTTGGTGCTCCCGCCCGTGACAAAATTCTCTGCCTAGAACCTGAGGCTCTCTGAGGTATCACTTGAAGTCCAGGTAGAGATGATTTGAAATCCAAGCCTCCACAGCTCATGCACTCTGCTTGACTGAAGATTTAGCATCATGGTGGCATGGTTAGGGCTCAATGCTTGCACCCTCTGGAACATTGATTTCAGGCACAACTGGGCCACCTACACCACAACTGAAGCAGCCAATTAGCACTGTACAAAAACAATGGGTGCAGAGACTTGAAGGAGTTCTGGGCTTCAAGAACATTTGGAGTACTGAAATTCCACAGGTAACCTGAGCTCTTCCTCACTTGAAACTGTTCTGCCACCAAGGCCCTGGCACTTTGGACCTGTGGTGGGCATGACAGCATTTAAAAACCCTGAAATGTCTTCAGAGTCACTCTCCCACTGTCTTGATGAATAGCACCTGGCACCCGTCTATCCAAACTAGTCTCCTTATCTAATAGTAGATGACCCATCCCTTGGTTTTCTCTGCTAGACAGATTTTTATTTTCATTGTTTATGTGGCCAGCCTGGGAATTTTACAGATTTTTACATTTTGCTTTCCTTTTGATTTTAACTCATTTATGCCAGATGTGGCAAATATTTTTGTCAAAAATCAGGCCTTGGTGATGACCTTGAGAAGCAGGGTATAAATAACTCCCACAAGCTTAGCATTCCAATAATGGAACACTAGGTGTAAGTGGGTTAAATTCTGTCTTTTAATTTTTTAGCTCTTCTCACATTTTACCATAATCAGTTAACAAATCCCTGGTATCTCCCTCAGCAATTTTCTACTAAGAGATATTTTTTTGTCAGATATCCTGATTAGTCATTCTTAAGTGCTGCCTTTCACAAAGTCCTAGGACACAGACAGCCTAGCCTTTGCCACTTTGTAAACCAGGATAGCCTTTTCTACAAATTCCAATAAGATATTCCTCATTTCCATCTGGGACCTAATCAGAATGGCCTTTATTGTTCATATTTCAACCAGTATTCTAGTCATGACCACTTAGGTAATCACTAAGACAACTGAGGCTTCCCCTGCAGTTCTCCTCTTCTGAGCCCTTGGTAGATCCCCCGTAATTTTCAGTTTATATCAATAGAGGCTTTTTCTAGCAATCCCTTCAAAACTCTTCCAGTCTCTATACATTACCCTGTTCCAAAGCTTGCTTCCACATTTTTAGATATTTGTTACAACAATAGTCCAATCCCTGTATCAATTTCTGTCTTAGTTCATTTGTGTGTGTGTGTACAGACTGGGTAATTTATAAAGAACAAAAATGTGTTTTTCTCATAGCTCTGGGGGTTGGAAAGTCCAAGATCAAGGCACTGGCAGGTTTGGTTGTCTGGTGAGTCCTGCGTCCTCCAGAGGGGAGGAACACTGTATCCTCACATGGTGGAAGGTAGAATGGCAAAAAAGACAAACTGCCTTAGTCAAACCTTTTTATAAGGGCACAGTCACAATTGGGCCTTATGGCCCAATCACCTCTAAAAAACCTCACCTTCTAAATACTATCACATTGGCAACATCTGAATTCTAGAAGGGACATATTCAAACCACAGCCCCTCCTTTCCTGAATCTGACACCAAGCCCTACAGTTGTCTTTTTAATGCCGGTCTGAGACTCATGCCCACAAAGTTGAAAGGCTTTGACTTTTGATGAGGTCTTGAAATAACCAATTTAAAACAAATAATCCTGAAGCCTACCCTGCTTCCTTTTATATGAGATGATAAATTTCTCTATTTTTAGCTAATTTTATTACTGATTGTCTTACTTTTAGCTGGGAGTAATCTGGCTAGTACAGAAACTATGAATACAATGTACTGAGGTCTTCGGTTTACACATGGAGTTATAAACTGTATACCAGTGCATTTTTTATTAAATCTTTAAACACTGTTTCCTAACAACACAGATTATGATGTATTTGCTCATTAAGAATCAGCATGTAAATAAAGCACTAGCTTAAAATACAGGTAGAGATGGATTTCAAATTCAGGTCTTTCTGCCTTTAACAACTAAACTATACAAGGCAGGTATAAACAAATCTTACAGTGTCATCAATTTGTTTGGGATAAAGGACTTTCACTAGGCAAGGTCTTGTGTGCCTACTTTGAGCATTTTATGTGATTGAAAAAAAAATCTGCATTTCTTTTCAAGGAATAGCATTATTTATAGTTTTTTTCTAATTCTCTTATCCTAAATTGTATTTAATTAATGTATTTTTGCATTAGCATTATTTTGGAAGTTTAAATTTACAGCTTGCTTCTTTTACCATTTATTTTCTATACATATATGTATAATTATTTTATCTTCCCCTAACTTCTGCAAACATCATTATTCTGATCCATTCATTTGATTTGCTCCCATTATTTCTAATGCAATTTTTCTATTCGTGAAAATTCACAGAATGTTTCTTTATTGCTGCCTATGACAATTTGTGATTCATTGTAAGTAATATTTATTAGTTTAAATAAACAAAACAGAACTTACTAAGTTTCTAATTTGATGGTTTAGTTTAAAATATAAATTTAAGAACTGTGATATGTTTCTCTCTTACTTGATCTAACTTTTCCAAAAAGATTTTGTTGTATTTAATTGTTTTTCTGTCTTTCCTAGTTCTTTTCTGAGCTCAGCGTCCAGATTGTTTCTCTTAAGTCATGACTCAATTTGCTAAGCCTTGTATTATCCAGGAATCTTTTGCAGCTCATTTTAATCTTAGAAATATTAGCTGTGTTTATTCTACAAAATATCCCTCAACTTCACCACTGTAGAAACTTCTCAAGAAAAATCAAACAGACAGATGATTTGAGGAAACTGAGACTCGTGCTCTCTGTATGATTCCTCAGCCCTCTGGCATGTGTTAAGATCCCACACATGATGATAATGGCTGCTCTGTGGTTCTCCTTTGCAGTAAATACAGCATTGCAAACTAAAGAGAGGCACATGTTGGCACCCAACTTCTAATTTACACCACCTGCCTACATATGAGTATTCATATTTTTGGAAACTGACTTAATTTCTATGTGTCCAAAACATTATAAAATCTTAACCAGCTCATCAGCCTAACTTGTGTAAGACAAAATATTTTAAACTCATATTCCATCAATTTCTTAAAGAATAATTGAAGAAATGATAATAATATTACAGTTAGGGTGTGAGCTTTTATTCACCTCTTTGAAATCTTGGTGGGACCACGTCATCACTCTCTTGTTTTAGGATTAGGAAAGTTCAGTTTCTTTCATCACTATTGGCTGTCTTTTCTTTCTCAGAGTCAAGTTCTTTTGGACCTTGGGGCAACTGGCTGCTTCAACTTTTGTTGCTCTTTAGGTAGTTTCTCCTTTCTCCTCAACCACATTCCCTTACCCATCATTGTCTACATAGAAGTGTCAAGAATTAAACAGAGAGAAAAGTTGGTGCAGCACTTCTACGAATTCAAATACACAAGAATGGGCAACAGGAATAGAAGGAACAGGCAGTTACCATTGATTGACCAAGACCACATTAGGGTGCTTTCTAGGCCATTAGGGTTATTTTGTTTCGATTTTTTTGTTTAGTTTGATTTTCTCCCCTAATATTCTTTACCAAAGTTTTCCTGTCTCTCCTATTTTTCTTATTTTGTTTTATCTGCATTCATTACACTTCAGCTCAGCACAGAAGTGTTGAGTCTAGTGTACATATAGAAGAGCTAATCAAATTTCTGCTTTTAGAAAACTACATCATTTATTTAAACCTGATTGTCAGCACCACACTACATCTGCTGAAGCAAAATTACTAGTGGATAGGACAATTGTATTTATATATATACATGCATATTCATATATATATGTATATTATACACACATATTTATATAAAACATAACAGATACTATTTTGGGTATTTGGGATATGTAAAGGGAACAACCTAACATTCTTATCCTGTAGATATTTGTTCTAGGTACAAGGACAGAAAATATGGCCGGGAATTTTATTTAAAGAACAATGCTGAAGAGTAAGAATGATGATACAGAAACATTTATTCTTAATTACAGCCCTCAATTTTCAAACGTACAGGGCAACTTACAGCAAGTTACTCAATCACTCAAGTCTCACTCTCCTTATTGGTACAATGCAGTATTAATAATATTTTAATTGTTTCCCAAGTTTATGGAAAGACTCAAAAAAAATTTGAATGCAATTTTAAAATGGTTAAGTAAATGTTTTCACTATGATTACGTGAAACAGAAAAAGCACTTTAAATCAGAATATGGATTAATATTTAACAATGTTGTCAAATATGATATATGAAAGTTGTTGGTGATATGTAGTTATCTATCACTAGAAGCAGATAAACATGTACGATCTTTAAAAGTTTCGTGTAGCTTACAACACCAGACAAAAACAGGCTGAAAATTTGTATAATTTTCAGAGAATCTGTATAATTTGCCAGAGAAACTTAGACATGAATATGGTTGCATCTTCATGAATTGTCAATTCCTTTTATGCTCAGATGAGCATCACTGGAAGATGAAGAGGTAATGATCACATTTCAAGAAAAAAAATGCGAAGTCTGGATATTGGCTAGCCTTGTGTTCCATATTTTTGCTTTTAATATTTAAAGTTAAATGTAGCTGTTTTATAAAGTCACGATATGTTATTGAATTTCCAAATTCTCAAAATTTGTCTTTGTTATAAAGATAAATGCTTTCTTTTTCAGGTAGTATGTGTTTGTGCACGTGAGGTCATTTTGTCTGTTTGATTTTAGTTTTAGACGTGTCGTTGAGCTCAGACGGTATTCTTATTGAGAGTCATTCATCCTTTGAAATTTTCTTCTTAGATTTACTTACTTTTTATTTTCTTTAGTATTGCCCTAGTAAAATAAACCAGTTTGGGAATCACAAAGATTTGGTTCAAGTTAGTTCCACTATTTTTAGCCATATTATCATTAGCAATTTACTTAACCTCTTTTGTTGGTTTCCTTTTCTATAAAATGAGAAAAATAATAGTACTACATCATACAGTTAACCTGAGGGTTAAGGAGAGAATATATGGAAATATTTAGCAGAAAATGTATCCCAAAGTAAGTGGTCAATACATGAGTTCAATTACTTTTGCTGATATTGACCTTTGCTTGAGGTTTTAAAGTAAAATCTGGCACAGATTGAGTTTTTTGTGGTTGCATGTAAGATTAATACTTATTATGATGCTGAAATATCAAAGTAACATTCTATTTTTCCTCCCCAATACTTAACACAAGATTGAATAGGAAGAAATTCACTTAATAATTATTTGCTGAATGAATCAGTATATTGAAAAATATTAAAATATAATTGACAAAAAAATTATACTACCTCAGCTACTTGGATGATACACGTGCTATGGTAAATGACAAATTTAATCTAATTGAACAAGAATTATAAACACAGCAAATAAACACCAGAGTGGTATTTTAAAACTACTCTCCTAAATTAGAGTCCTATCGCTATATTATGAACTATGATCTATGCATACTGAATACCTATGACAGGGGAAGAGAAGTTGTGAGGTTCTATTATGTAACATTCTTTATTTCAACTTTGATTGTTCCTCCTCACATTTCTCATATATACTCTTAACAAACCTTTTCACCCCAAATAGAAGCCCTCAATAACAATCCAACTTCACCTACTTTTCATAGGACAGAAATTTCTAGCTGTCAAGGTTGGGGAAATCATTCAACAGGAACTCCCCACCCCCTCATTCACCTCTGATATATTTTTAGTTTACTCTTTTTTGTCTCAGAAGAGAAAGTAGATATCTTTAAATCTAGACAGTGTGACTTTGCTCTTGATCTCATTTACTCCCTTCTGAGATCCCACTCTAGCAATTTTCTGTTTTTCTCTTTGCATTTTTAATATTTTGATTGCCAACTAGTTCTTTCTCTAACTGTAAAGCATGTCACCCTCCTGTCCTTTCCCAAAAAAGAAAAACACAAAACTCCCTCGTAGTTTTTCCCTCTGAAGTTATTGCATTATCTTATTTTTCATGATTTAAAAACTATTTTAAAAATTTGCTTGTTATCTCTGTTTTACTACTACCAGCTAACCTTTCATCCATTACATTGTGACTCAACTTTCACATACTCCTATCCCATCTTTCTCTTATGCTCCAAATGCAGATGTTCCTCAATAATTTATCTTTGGCCCGTGCCTGTTTTTTATATGCCCTTTTCTTGGACTATAATGGCTTTAATTATCATCCCAATATACACACTTTCCAAAACAAAATGTGCAGTAGTAAGATGTCATTTCTTTCCTGTCTCCTATATTCTTCATTCCCTTAAGTCCAACTTTTATGTTTTAAACTTCTTCTAACTGGCTATTATTTTGATACCTGAAAATGAAAACTGACTATGCCATCTGTCTTCCCACAAAAATATCCTCCAGATATTGACTTCTCCTTCAAGCTTTCAGGCATTTTCAATTTCTCCCCCTCATTCTCTCTTTAAAGCCATGACTACCTAAGTGATGTAACTTCTATCATCTATGCTTTTCCACTTAGTATAAGGCTATTTTCCTGGCCCAGGTCCATATTGCTCATAACATTAATTTACCTCCCTCCTGCCTTGCACTGTATTTCTATATTCCTCTCTTTGTAGTTGAATTCCAAATAAGTTACAAAGTATTGGCTTTGTGAATATGTAGTTAAGCCAGCTAAGTCAATGTCCCTATCTGAAAACCAGTAGGAAAACACTAATTCTTAGTGAATTTTAGTATTCAGAATGTGTTGTTATATAATATATGACATAATATTATATACATAATGTTAAATATGTGTGCATTTCAGGCAGTATGTATCTCTTCTGGCACACTGCATAGACTATAGTTAAACATTTGATAAATATTGGTACCTAATGTCATTATCATAGAATAATTATTATCTATGTTAACAGTTGCCTCCATAAATCTGCAATCTATTTTGTATATAATTATGAGAGCTCATCTTCCTGTTCAGAAATGTGAATCCTGTCTTCCATTTGTGGAAAATATTGAAATGACTTACATTGTGTGGTAGAATAATGTGAAACCTTGTTAGCCTGAAATTGAGACTTTTACAATTTGATTTTAACCAATTACAAGCTTATCTCTCACTTTTAATATTTTTTGTCAAAACTTCATTCAAACTAAATTTTACTCCAGGTATTTTTTTCATCTTAATATTCTGCCAGTCTAACAAAGTATTGTGAAATGACTTATAAATAAATAAAGTAAAAATCAAATGTAATCTTATAATCTTTACTGACTCTAAAGTCCCCTTACACTTGATCTGTACCTCAATCGCAGGAACCTTTCTGTTTTATGTTGTAGAAAGCATTTAATATATACTAAATATCAAAACCATCATGAAACTTCAATTTCTAATCACATGGTATTGAATAAACTATATTATATTTATGTAACTCTTCTATACAAGTATAAATAAGTTATAAAATCTGTTATTGCATTCTAAGAGTATAGTCTTTGATAAAATATATATTTTATAACTCCTCCAATATGTATAAAGGTCATACTAAGCTATAATTAATTTACATATTTTGTCTTGAAGTAAATATTTATTCACAGAAGAATTATAAGAATGTAGGAGTTCTAAAAGTAACTGACTATAATAATTTTCAAAATGATTAAAGTCAATTTGTCATATGGTTTTAAAGAATGGCTGTAAATAGATGAGGTGGACTTTAAAATGAAACAAAAACTATGCAGTTTTCAAATATTCAGTTGTGTCATGTAAGGCTAGATTATTTCTCTAATTGCAAAACACACATGACAATTGAGAAATTATGGAAAATAGGAGGGAACACAAAGAAGAACATAAAACCATCTGAAATCTCATGAGCCAGATCAAAAAGTACAATGAAATTTTGGTTTCTCTGTCTCTTCATTTCTTCTCTTTCTCTGTCTCTTCATCTTTCAATCTCTCTTTCTTTGTTGCTGTTATTTTCACTCAACACACATATACAGTCACACACACATGCATACGTACACAGAACTACTAGAATTGGGGTATGGCTACAACATAATGTATGAAAAGAGACATTAAAAGGTATTAGAGATACAGGGAGAGAGGTTGTATGCCTCCTAAAGGATTTAGATTTTATCCCATGGGCACTGGAAACCTTAAGTAGAAGAGTCATATAATCAGATTCTGCTGTCAAGGAGATGTTTAAAAATCCTGTTTTGATTAAAAAAAACCATGGTTTTGCCACAGCCTGGAGAACGAGTTAAAGAGGAACAGCAGTGACTACTGGCAGGCAGCCAAGTTAAGAGGTTGTCACTGCAATCTAGAATAGAAATAATGAAGGCCTGAAATAAAGCAAACCCAGTGGCAGTGGGAATGGCAGGAGGGGATCACACTCATGAGTGTATAAAGGTAGAGCTGATGGGAATGCATGCCAATTAGGCATGAGCTTTCAAGAATATAAGGAAGTAAGGATAATTCTTAGATTTCTAAGTCAGTTGACCAAATAAATAATAATGCAGTTTCTTGAGATGGGGTACATAGAGGAAGAAAGCAAGAGGAAGATGAGTTCAGTTCTAAACCTGTTAGATTTCATGTGCTAATGAGATATGTATATGATATCACTGATTACACATCTGGACCTGTGGGTATGGAATTTACATCTGAATCAGAAAAAGATTATATATGTGTGTGTGTATATATATATGTGTGTGTATATATATATAATATATTATCCCTTTATCTCTTTCTATATATATATGAAATCTGATTCAGATGTATATCTGTGTACACACACACACTCATATAAATATACATATATATTTCTTCCTATATATGGGAATATATATATATATTCCATCCCATATATATATTCATATATATATACTCCTTCCTATATCTATGAGTGTGTGTGTACACAGATACATATCTGAATCAGAGAAAGAAATATATATTCCTTCCTATTATATATATATATATTCCTTCCTCTCTCTATATATATTCCTTCCTCTCTCTATATATATTCCTTCCTATATATATATATATATTCCTTCCTATATATATATGTATATTCCTTCCTATATATATATATATATGAGTGTGTGTACACAGATATACATCTGTATCAGAGAAAGAGATTTTATATATACATATATAAAAAGATTATATATATGAGAGACAGATATATATCATATATATAAAATCTCTTTCTCTGATTCAGATGTAAACTCCAGACCCACAGGTCCAGATGTATACAGACACACACTCACATACATGTATGTGTATATACATGTATATATATAGGAAGGAATATATATATATAGGCATATATATATGAGTGTGTGTGTATATATATATGAAAGAATATATATATGAATATGTGTGTATATGTGTACACAGTTATACACAGACACAAATATAGGATATTTGAGACACTGTGTGTGGATGCAAATAATCAGAGAAGCCTGTGTTTATTGTAGCAGTAAGTAAATTAGATTTTAAGAAGGCAGGAAACAAATAGGTCTGCCATTTCAAATAATGAGATATAAATAGCAGAAATATTGCCTTTCATCTTAGCAAACACTTGTGTGTGTGTCTGTGTGTGTGTGGTGAGGAAGATTAATAGTCGATCTAGAATTTGTATACTAGTTTATTTCACAGCATCTTTTAAAAATTCATGCTTATTTTATTGTAATTACAAAATTTATCTAGACTTTACATGTAAAATTGTAGTTTTTCAAAGATGTTGTGTGTTAAAATTAAATATTAAAATGTTTTTCTACCGACAACGTTCTAAATTGCCATTGGGATTTTATCTACACTGCGTTTGTTTTATTTGAATATTAGTTTTCTTCACAAAACAAGAGGTACACACTTAAGTTACCATTATTTTAACCATTATGGAAATCAACTGTCACTGTAAGCAATAAACCGGGCGCGGTGGCTCATGCCTGTAATCCCAGCACTTTGGGAGGCAGAGGCCGGGCAGATCACAAGGTCAGGAGATTGAGACCATCCCGGCTAACATGGTGAAACCCCATCTCCAGTAAAAATGCAAAAACTTCACCGGGCGTGGTGGCGGGCGCCTGCAGTCCCAGCTACTCGGGAGGCTGAGGCAGGAGAATGGCGTGAATTTGGGAGGCGGAGCTTGCAGTGAGCGGCGATGGAGCCACTGCACTCCAGCCTGGGCGACAGAGCAAGACTCCTTATCAAAAAAATATGTATATAAATAAATACAATAAAACAATAAAAATAAAGTAAGTTTTTTCTGAGCCTTGAAAAATAAAATTCATTTAGCCAGTCATGGTGGCGGGCGCCTGTAGTCCCAGCTACTCAGGAGGCTGAGGCAGGAGAATGGCATGAACGCGGGAGGCGGAGCTTGCAGTGAGCCGAGATCGCGCCACTGCACTCCAGCCTGGGTGACTGAGCCAGACTCTGTCTCAAAAAAAAAAAAAAAAAGAAAAAGAAAATTCATATTTTAGAGTTTATCAAATAAAATAAATATCTTACAAAGTTATTTTTCTGAGATAATGATTTAAAATATGTATTTTTAAATTTACAGAAAAAATTGTGTGTTTTATGTAGGACATAATGTGTTGAAGTAAACATATATTTTGGACTGGTTAAATCTAGCTAATTAACAAATGCAGTACCTCACATGGTTTGCATTTTTGTGGTAAGAATACATAATATCTCTTTCCTTTTTTTTTTTTTTTTTGGAGACAGAGTCTCGCTCTGTCACCCAGGCTGGAATGCAGTGACATGATCTTGGCTCACAGTAACCTCCGGCTCCCGGATTCAAGTGATTCTTCTACCTCTGCCTCCCGATTAACTGGGATTTCAGGAGTGTGCCACCATGCCCAGCTAATTTTTGTGTTTTTAGTAGATACAGGGTTTACCATGTTGGCCAGGCTGGTCTTGAACTCCTGATCTCAAGTGATCCGGCTGCCTTGGCCTTCCAAAGTGTTGGGATTACAGGCATGAGCCACCGAGCCCGGCCTACATTTTTGAATAATACGATATATCATTATTAATTATAGTTACCTTGCTGTAAAATAGATATTTTGAAAATTATTCCTCCTATCTAACTTTATATATCCATTGACCAACACCTTCCCATTCCCCTGCCCCACTAACCACCCCAGCCTCTGGTAGCTATCATTCTACTCTCTACTTTTATGAGACCAACTTTTTTAGATTCCACCATGCGACTGAGATTATGAGGTATATGTCTTTTTGTGCTTGGCATATTTCATTTAACATGATGTCCTCAGGTTCTTCCGGGTTGTTAAATAGCCATGATTGAAACAAATTTACTATAATAAAAGAACAGTTAGCAAATATGCAGACCCATTTATTACTTCTTAATGTGCCTTTCTTCACAAGTGACGGTATGTTCTTAATTGATGTTCAAGATACATATAGAAAAGTACACAGATTTACATCACTTATTGGATTTTCACAAATTGAACTTGCCCATGAACCCAACATCTACAACAACAGCCAGACATTTATGCTATTGTTTTGAAAGAAGAATATCTATACTTTAATTTGAGATTTTAAAGTTTTATTTTAACATATTATGGGGATATTCTAAAGGTCAAGACTCACTTCTTTCAGGGGTAATCAGGGAAAAATAGGATTGAGAAAACCTTCAAAAAAGACCAAATTCTGAAGGATGATGGAGAGAAAGACACCCGAACACATCCTATAATTTACCATAGTGACTTGCTCCTCTCCATCCCTTCTTATTTCCAATAAACGTTTCAAACTTACACATAGTATTCAGTAACTTTTTGGTGGAAAATAACAGTAGTTAATGTGAGAAAGCTAAAGAGGGAAGTCATTTTGTGAGGTTCTAAATGTCCCCCATCAGAGAAACACCATGTTAAGTCTTTTGGAGAAAAATAATACCAGAAAGAGATGGTTTAGTAACATATTTGTGGTGGAAGAGTAACAAGATAGATTGAACTGAACAAAGGTTAGATATAAAGAATGTTGAAATTGTCAATCAAGAACAATGACCTAGACAAATCTCAATCATTTCAGGAAGTTTATTTGCCGAAGTTAAGAACACACCTGGGAGACAAGTCTATGCCTTTCTCTGAAGATGATTTTGAGAGCTCCAAATGTAAAAGGGAAATGGTGGGATATTGAGAAATAAACATTTTGCATGTAAGAGGTGGGTAGGGGGCAATAGTCATTTATGCCTTTGCCTGGCTCTGTGAATCTGCATTTTTGCGTAAGATAAGATAGATAATAGGGCAAGGGGTACAGTCAGATATGCATTTGTGGGAGGTGGGCAGAGAGATGACTTTGAGTTCTGTCCTATGCACCTGTGAAGATAAGGCATCAATTTACATTGTCATGGTAAATTTTAACAGAAAACCTTTACAGTTAAGATCTTGGAGCCCACTAGAATTTTCTCATCTGTAAAACATGAGGGAGGTGTATATCCTTTCATCTTGTAGCCATCTTATTTAGGAACGAAAAGGCGAATGCAGATTTGTGTGACCCAGTTCCCAGCTTGACTTTTCCCTCTGGCTTAATGAGTTTGAGATCCCAAGATGTATTTCCCTTTCACAAAATGATCTAAGGATAAATGAAAAAAATGTAGTAATAGATTAACAAATAAATCCCTTAACCATATATCTGTTTTTCCCTTTGTTTTGCTTGTCTTTCTCTCCTATTACAACATACTCATTTAAAATCTAACCAATGCTTTCAAAGCCCATTAAAAAATTTGCATCCATCTTCCAGGTGAAATCAAGTCTTCTTTTTTTTTTTGCATTCTCATTACTTTATATTTATCCATCTTTTCAGCATTTACTACACTCTGTGTTTCAATTAATTACTATTACATGCCCAAATCCCCTCATCAGCTATTTGTAGAAAGGGATTATTTATTCTCTTTGTTTCCCTAAATTATTTGCATGGAGTATTTGCACAGTAAGTGCTCAATAAAAGTGCCTGAATCCAAGCTTATTCAAATTGATTAATTGAATATTATATGAAGAGTGGAAGGAGAAGAAATTATATATATATATATAATTATACATATATATTATATATAGAGAGAGGGAGAAAATATTAATCCACTACGATTTTCTTTGAGAGGAAATAAAGACACTCAGTATCACTTACTCTGCTGAGAATTTCCAAAAATGACATAGCTCTTTTGTGACTTCTTTCTGTTACCTTGATTTGGCTGGGGGTTCAAGAGTAGTAGAGTTTCTTTTACTTCCCTTCTAGTAATGCAATTTATATGTGTCTTATGGTTTTTTTTATTCTTAATATCTATTCTATTGACATTGTGTTGAGTATTGAAACAGAAATAATTCCACTTCAACATACTATTACAGATGACTTTTGTTTTAGGCTTTTAAGACTGGATTAATTTACAGAAGTGAGAAGAAGTGCCAAGAACTCCGAAGGGTATGAGAGGTTGCTCTACTTTCAGACTGACAAATTAGTTGGCCACAGTTTCATGAATACTGGCAACAGATGCAGGATTCCTGGGTCAGAGACAAAGGGCAGTTTATTTCTTAGTACAGCAGGAGTCACAGCATCAGAATTTTTGTGTGATTCTCCTAGCCCCAGTTAACATGAAGAGGGCCAGATGGCACTTGCACACAGTGCAGTTTGTTACAGGTCTAGACCCTGAGTTGTTTTCAGTTGTTTGCTATGAAAACGAACTTGAAAAAAATCTAAGGAAAAAAAAAGGGGTAGTCCTTGTCTCATTTGAAAGTCATGTAAAATGCAAGAGAACCATGGAGAATTGTCTCCTAAAAAATAAAGGTGGCTTGTTAAAAACAAACAAACAAACAAACAAAAACACATGAGTTCAAATGTTGTATTATGTTTGAAGTGAGAGGATTAAATATCTACATGTAATTTCTGGGTAAATGTTTAAACTGGGAATTAGAGTTTATTATATTAACTTCTTGATGTAATGTAAGTTCAGTGGAAATAAATGTATTCGTCTGTAATAAAAAGGAATTGACTATTAGGTCATCTAGAACTTTAAAATCTCATGACTTCGTGTCAGTGATTGATAATGTAATATTATAATAAAAAAAGATTTAGAGCATTTCTTTAAAGGTGATAAAGAGCTGCAAAATAAGATAGTTTTGAATACAATTAAAAGAATAAAATTACTTATGGGATCTTGTGAATTGATAGCATTGTGGTTTTTGTTATGATACTTGATAATGGATGTTTTCTGCTGAGAAAAGAAAACTATATTAAATTATGCCATGTATTATATTCTAAGATACACTAGAGAAATCCACAGTATTTTATCCTATACGAGGTATATATTTTATCAGTGTGCTAACATAATTTGGGAATTCCACAACATCTAGCCTCAATGTCAACAAAATGTTCTAGCTGCTCTTGAAAAACAAAAGATATTTATCACATTATTCTAACTATTATTTTTATAAAGCACTTGACTTCCAAACCTAAAAGTTTTAGAGATAACAATTGTTTCATTTCTTTAAAAAGTTTCTTCAAATAGTGCTTCTTTTCTTTATCCCTACCTTATCCTCATTCAGACACATTTATTTCCTTATTCATAGACTATTGCAGTACAGTTATTCCTCAGTATCCCTGGGTTCCACATCTGCTGATTCAACCAACCACAGATTGAAAATACTTGAAAACAAACAATAAAAAATAACAATACAACAATATAAAATAATAAAAAGAAGAATACAGTATTACAATTAATTACAAAATGTCTTCATTGTATTAGGTATTAAAAATAACCTAGAGAAGATTTCAAGTATAAGGGAGGATATGCATAGGTTAGGTGCAAATACAACATCATTTTATATCCGTGACTCGAGCATCTATGAATTTTGGTATCTGTGATGGTCCTAGAATCAATCCCCGCTCTTTGTACTGAAAGACAACTGTGGTTCCCTAAATGTTCATCATAGATCAACTTTTTCGCATTAATTTTTTCCAGATTATACTGCAATGCAAAATTAATCTTAAAATATTACTGGCCTCTAAACATCAATAGGTTAATGGGTAGATGAAAATTGGTTACTCTTCAAGACAAATTTCTTCTTACCTCAAGTTTATTTGAAAATAACATTCACAATTTCTAGTCTTTACTGCTGTTTTGGAGTACAAATATAAATGTTAAATTGTTGCTTACTTTGAAGGTTTTTTAATATGTTAATTTGTCCATTATATGAGAGCTAACAATAAATGTCAGCTAATTCAGAGTTAAGAGTGTCAGCTGGCCACTGATATAAAATTAAAATTTGATAATTGTGGGAACACTTTTCCCATCATCTCACTACTGAACACAGAACAATTAGTCTATAGACCACTGAGTTTTTATTCAGCTCTAATAGGCCTTTGGAGGTATACTATCCCATTATAATTGTCCTTAAAGATTACTGTATGTTATATATTTATATTCCCTCAAAGTCAAAGTTTACATGTTGTAGCCACTAGATAATAATTTATTGAATACTTAAAGCTCCAAAGACATATTATTGTAAAATTTCTCTTGGGCATATAGAGGATATTCTACTTTTGAACATGCTTATTCAATAATACATGTGATTTACATATTTGGATTTAAGCATTCACATATTACACTGTCAGGCAACAAAATGTATTTTTATGGTAGAAATGTTTCCAGTTATTATTTTAATTAGCAATTATCTCATCTTTAATCTCTGGAGATACTGAACTTAAGTGCATTCATAAAACAGGAAAAAGTTGCTCAACATATATAGATGGGAAGATATTGTGTTATTTTTCCAAACTATATTTTACACACATAATACACTCCCATTAGTATTATCATATAAGTTAAACTATATTAGAACAGCAAGAGGGGAAATAGAGTTATGGGAGAAAGTAGAAGGAGGCATAATTAATTTAGGTTTGGAATGTAGATTTCTGCATTGTGCTGAATGGAGGTGTTCT
Organism: Homo sapiens; assembly: GCF_000001405.40. Taxonomy (NCBI): domain Eukaryota; kingdom Metazoa; phylum Chordata; class Mammalia; order Primates; family Hominidae; genus Homo; species Homo sapiens. Next base: position 55,017,218 of record NC_000010.11, on the reverse strand, counting down.
ATTTGCCCCTTTCTTCTGTGGCTGACTTGTAGGAACTACACAAATACATTTGTCTGTCTTTTGAAATTTGGTTGATTTGGCCAATAGGGAAGGCCAGCAGTCTTGAGAAAAGGAAGAAAGTAAAGTTGGGGTCTCTATTTCCCTTTTTTCTCTTTGTGATAGATGCATACACATACCTTCTTTGACTAATGTTAGAACTTTTATCTGATAGCTTTTTGCACTCACTTCTCTCCCTCTCTCCCTCTGTGTGTGTGTGAGTGTAACTGCTTTATACTCTTACTCATTAGGGCCCAGGGGTGTATCTTATTTTTTTCTCCCATGAAGAATTGAGAAAAATATATGATTAGAAGGAGTTTATTAGAAATTATCCCAGAATCAAGACAAGACAGAAGAGAAAATCAATAAAAGGTATGTTACTGGATTATTTGGTTCATGTGATCCAGCAATCCCACTGCTAGGTATATACCCAAAAGAAAGGAAATCAGTATATTGAGATGTCCACACTTCTGTGTTTATTGCAACACTGTTCACAATAGCCCAGATTTGGAAGCAACCTGTGTCCATCAACAGATGATTGCATAAAGAAAAGTTGGTACATATACACAATGAAGTACTACTCAACCACAAGAAAGAACGAGATCTTGTCATTTGCAAAAATGTTTATGATGGTTACTGGGTTAAGTGAAATAAGCCAGGCACAGAAAGACATACTTTACATGTTCTCACTCATTTGTGGGAGCTAAAACTTAAAACAATTGAACTCATGGAGATAAAGAGTGGAATGCCAGTTACCGGGGGCTGGGGAAGGTGATGGGTTCTAGGGAAGAGTGGATGGTTAATGGGTACAAAAATATAGTTAGATAGAATAAATAAGATCTATTATTTCATAGCACAAAAGAGTGATTACAGTTAACAGCAATTTATTGTACATTATAAAGTAACTAGGAGAGTGTAATTGGATTGTTTTTAACACAAAGAAAAGATAAGGGCTTGAGGTGCTAAATACATTTACCCTGATGTGATTATTACGCATTGTATGCCTGTATCAAAATATCTCATGTTTCCCACAAATATATACACCTAGTTTGTACCCACAGTCTTTTTTTTTTTTTTTTTTTTTAAAAAAAAAAGGTCATTGAGGTGGTTAAAATTTGGTCAATTACAACTCAAGCCTGCTGAGAACTTTTTAAGGAACCTTGTAGAATGTTCTTCTGGATTTTCTCTCTGAAGGATGGAAAGCATAGGCCCTTACAAATTCCCAGCCCACCCCATTTATTCTAGAATATTAACTCCCCTGCTCTTCTATGCAGTTTTTACCCTCATAGATCTCCTGTGGGTTCTGAAAAATTCCAAAACACAAATGAAGAGGGGTTGCAGTGTGCACAGAACTGTTGAGCTTCCCTAAGCTGAAATCAAAGGTAGGTTCAGGGGACATAAAACAAGGCACCTAGCGCATCTGCTGCAGGACAATCAGAACTGGCCCACTGATACTAGCTGCAGGGAACAACCTTCTCCTGTGGTTTCCTCATTCTCTGTCCAAATCTTTCACATAGTTACTATATTAAACTCTTCATAAATTACCCAGTTTTAGTGGATTTTCTGTTTTCCGCCAGGACCATGACAGACACTCTCTTTGTCAGTAACGGTTGACCATATAACATAATCTTGCCAAGGACCCAGCAATTGGACCTATCCTCGCTTATTTTTGACTGGACTTCCTAAGTACATTGAACAGCGCTCAGTACTCAAACCCACCTCCTAAATACACTGCTGGGAAAAGTGGGTTGATTGTGTTTTATAAAAGTATGTCTGCGTTTTCCAGGCTTTGTGTCTCTATAATGAATAAATAATGTAAATGAGTTTAGTGAGGCATTGAGGTAGAATAAGTCCCTGTGGTAGGAGATCGACAGCAAAAGTGTTCTCTGTGGAGCCTACTGGCCAAGAAAGAAGAGATAGACTAACTAGATTTTAAATTTATATTACAAATAAATTTAAAATATAAATTTAAATATATTTTAAGTGTAAAATGTGGTGGGATCTTGGCTCACTGCAACCTCAGCCTCCCAGGTAGCTGGGCTCAAGTGATCCCCTCACCTCAACCTCCCAAGCAGCTGGGACTACATGCACACACCATCACATCCAGCTAATTTTTATATTCTTAGTAGAGATGGGGTTTCACCATGTTGCTCAGGCTGATCTTGAACTCCTGACCTCAAGTGATCTGCCCGCCTCGGCCTCCCAAAGTGCTGAGATTACGGGTGTGAGCCACTGCGCCTAGCCAGAGACAGACAATATTAAATTGAGAAAATTTTTATCTGACACTGTGGAACTGAGGACATGGCGACACAATAGTTTTAAGTATTTCTCATAAAAGAAACATTTTATATAGTGTGATGCTTGGAGGACTAATTTCAATTAAAAAAGTATTTTTACAGTTACTCAGTTATTAAATATAGTAAAGTAGCATGTGTCTCTGGTAAGGTATCTGATCAGAGTAGTCTAAAGAAACATTTTTTATTCATTATAATCAACATGCTGATTTCTTTGTTATTCAATGAATTAGAAAGACAAGACTATACGTTTTGCATTGTAGCTTGTAGCAAAATGAATATAACATCCTCTTTCTAAAATATATTTTTATTTCTCTGATCTTTTCATTTTTTCATTTTTTCACTGTATAGAAGTGCTGCTCACTAGTACAAAAATATTTTATTGAAGAGCAGCACTCTGGTCTGGTTATAAGCATCATTTCTTTATATATTTTGCAAATAAGAGCAGAACTTGCCATTTGCAATGTAATTTATTTTTCCCCATATAAATGGAAAGTGAGGCCCATAGAAAATATGACTGTAAATATTGTAAGAGTGGGGTCACAATTAGCAAAGGTGAAGAAATAAGTTTGTGTATTGCATCTCACCTAATTTTTTCCTTATAATAGACACGTTTATTTTTCTTTTAAACAAGTTGTAGCATAAGTTATTGCTATTAAAGTTCCACTTTGTAATTATAAAAAAAAAATTTCAAGGTGTATTCCTCCCTTTGAGAGTGTTAGTATTATCCAGTCAACTTTTAAATGCAGAACTACTTTCTCATTTATGCAAAAATGTAAATATATTTTAATGATAGTATACAGTTTCTTCTTACTTTTGCCTTTTGCCTTAAGTAATTATTTATTATAAAGTAACTGTTCAGTATATTTTTATATCATAATATCTAAATGAATACTAGAAACTAAAAGAAACTTCAATGGTGAGATTGAATTCATAGAGACTAGAAGATTCAATGAGATTAAAGTGGCCTAAATTTTAGGAATATAATTAATAGTTTGAATACTGTTCTAGGGTTGAAATTTTATATTTATTCATTCAGTTTCTTATTCATTTGCATATTCACTGATTTTAAAATGTTTAAGTACCTATTTGGGGCCAAGTGCTATTTTATTTCCTATGGATAACAGGTTAAGCAAATGTCTTGAATTTGACTTCATGAATCTTGCAATTTAGTGAGGAAGACAGATGTTAATTGAATAATCACACAACAATTTAATTATACATTAATAATTTATTTAAATAAAAATATGGGTATATAAGGAAGCACATTACAAGGAGAGTTGAAATTATTTATAGGATCACTGAGTTGAGATTGATGGTAGGTACTGCAGTTTACTAAGCAGAGGGAGTGGGAGGAGGATTGCTGATATATTCTGAGTTAAGGGAAAGGCAGATGCCCTGATGTGAGATAAATCATGGTCTGAGTGGTGGAAACACAGTAATTGAGAGAGAAAAAGAGGTTCAAATTGCCTGGTGTGGTAACCAGGTGCCAATTCTTGCAGAAATTTTAGATTTTGATAAGAATTGTGTTTTTTATCTTAGGAAAAATTGGCAACACATATCCACATTTGCATTTTCAAAAGATTTTTTCAGGTACTGTGCACAGAACTGTTGGAGGAGCTAATAGATGATGAAGAATTGCCCTTTAGGGTGCAGTTTCATATCATCTCATGCAAAAGGCCACATCCAGATGGGAAATGTAGACAGAGAATACATGAATGGATTTGTAAGATGTAGTTTGAAAGTAAAATCAAAAGGATTTAGTGACAAATTTAATACAGAAGTGGAAGTTATCAAATATGATTCCTATGTTTCAGCTTGGGGGCAATAAACGCATAGTATCCCAACCATGATATTTGAGAACTCTGGAGAGAATTTGATTCCCAGAAGGAGATAAATTATGTCTTTAATGTAGCATATATTGAGCTTGAAGTAATTTTGACACATGCAAAGAGATGATTAATAGGCAGTTGGTTATATTGGTACTTAGTTTAAAAGAAAAGTCTGGACTAGAGTCATATATTGAAAAGACACCCATGTAAATGTTAACATTATGGTACCTTTTTTTAAGGAGAGATTCTGAAGAGGAAAGATAAAGGGGCCTTGCACTGTCCTGACATATGTTAAAATGTAATGGTCGTTAAGTAAATGAATCTTCAAAGGAGTCAGAAATTTAGAAGGAATAAATAAAAAGACATGGTTTAGTGGAAGCAAAGAAAAGTGTTTCAGAGAGAAATAGTGAGTGGCTCTGACAAACACTGAAGAAAGCTCAAGATGACAATTTTATAAAGCACCATTGAATTTAGAAATACAGAAGACATTTGATGACCTTGATGTGGAATGTTTTCACTGGGCACTGTAGGCTACCAACTATATTAGAGCTGAAGAAATGGAATTACTAAGCAAAAACAAATTTTGAAACATTGGCTTTATAGAGGAGAAAGATATGGCCACAGTTAGGTAGCTAAATTACCTTTTGACAATAAAACCTGGCAAAACAGATCTTTATCATTTTTCAAAATATCTAATTTTTAAATTGTTATAACCAAATATCTTAATTTTGAACATTTTAGAAAACAATTATATGTATTGCAATACTGTATACTCAAAACTTATATGACTGAGTTCTTAAATGACCACACAATATTTTTAATATATCTTTTTTGACTGCAAGCATAACCTTGATATCTATGAATAATAAAGCAAGAAACAAAATAGTTAATAAGTATCAACTTGATTATTTTTAAATAAAAGAGGAAGAGATACAATACAAAGTAACTTTCAGAAAAATGAAGACCTACAAGGAAAATGGGGGTGTTTCCCAAAATTGGCTTCAGAAATATACTTCGTGCCAAGGGAGAAATGGTTTTTCAAGAGGCAATTTTTAATTGGCTCTTCCTGTTGTCAGAAATGGACCAAAAGATTTAGTATTGTTTGGATGTTCTGGAGGCATTGAAAATTGATTTCTCGCCTTAGTTTTGAGTGCTATGTCTCTATTAGTATGTTTTTCATACACAGTGGCTCAAGTACTCATCATGCCATTTTTTGAGTTAATCTGTAATATGACTTTTCATCATTTTCTTGATCCCTTTTTTCATTTTCTTTTTCATTTCGATGTTTAAAATTTTCTTTGAAATTGCATTCTGTCTTTCCACTCCTCTTATTGACATCATGACCTATTAATGTACTTCTATTTCTTCCCCATTATTTCCTAAGTATTGTGTCTGTGTTGTTTAAATTGAAAAATTGAAAGAAAACAAAAATGTCTTATAATTAATTCTTATGTTTCAATTGTTTTCATTTTTAAACCATGAATAATTTAAAGTATGTAAAATCTTAAGTCAAACAACCTAGAATTCCTTCTATATAAATCTGTGTATCAGGGATTGAGAGTAACACAACCACAATTAGAAGAGACCTTAGTTTTCCGTTTAAGAAAAGACTCCATAGCACTTTAATTAACTAATTTCCACGTCTAAGTATATTTGACATTATAAATGTCTTCCATATTTTAATTTCATAATTTCTTAAGCAGCTTTGCTTTAAGCTTATATTCTGTCTCAATTTCAGAAATAGAAGCACTGATAGTTTGGTCATTTGTATGTTTCTTTATGTCTGAAATCTCAATTATATATTTTCTGGCAATTTCTCCACTTTGTCCACTTTTAATAAATATAACGATTTTTTCAGTATGTGTAGTTATATGTTTTTCTGTCTCCTGCATTAATCATATCATAGTTCTCTAAAATGCATGTGTATGCACGTGTATGTGTGTGTGTGTAACAAGAAAATCATTTGAGATTATTTGTGTTTACTCTCTTGATATATTTTTATCCTCTTTCAGTTATTCCTCTTCAAAAATTGTGTATTTTCTTTGTATTTTGTTGATTCAAGGGAGCAATATTCTTTAGGGTTGAAAGTATTAATCTTGTATTTCTGGCTTTTGTTTTATTTGAATGGGTTTTCCTATGAAAGAAGAGAACAAGGGAAGCACTATTGCTAACAGCCTGAAAAAGAGAAAGAGTCCAGAGACTAGAGAGATGGTATAATATTATGAGATGGATTGTGATATAAATACCTTTTTTTTTTATAAGTTGTTGTTTATGCATGGCAAATGCAGGGAAGAGACTTATAATCATTTTATCAATATTATGTTTTCAACTATTCTGTTATTTCCTTTGAAAAGTATTATGTGGGTAGTGAATAAGACTTCAGCTTCTTTAGATGAAATTAAGACTGCCCTCCTTCTGTTTTTATTTGTACCATGATTGTTTCTGTGTAAGGCCTTTGGACCTGTTGCCACCTCAGCCTGAATGACATGGCTGACTTCTTGTCATTCAAGTAAGCCTCAGCTGACACATCAGTGCCTCAGCGACCTATTCACTGCAAGCCAAATTTACATTATGCCTCCTACCCAAAGTCCCTCTTTGTTATCTTTATAGCACTTATTCTAAATGAATTTATCTCGTTAATTTATTGATGGGCTTCTCTATTGTTTAAATCACCCACTGGAAAGGAATTTCCATGAGCTCAGGGGCTTTGCCTGTCTTTGCTGCTTATGTTAGCCAATCACATAGTCAGGCCTCCCAGCATATTTGTTAAATTAATGGATAATAGCCCCTTAGTCTATCTGCATACTGGAAAACTCCATCAATGTATTTATTTATTTATTTATTATTTCTTCCTTTTTTAGTTTTTTACTTCAGGTTGTACAATCTTATTAGACTTGCTGGTGCATAATGGGTTTCTGTAATGAGTGATTGGTCCATTGCTAGCCTTATTGCTATTATAAGTCCTTGAACAATAGTCTTCTCATTTTTTCTCCTATTACTTATGTAAACTGTATCAGAATACTAAAACACTATACTTGTATTGTTAGTAATGCAGACTTAGTGAGAGACTGATTAAGACAAAGAGAACAGAAGATTTATCAAGACTTTAAAAGAAACATCAGCACATTTTGTGCAGTTTTCCAAGGCAGGATGCTATTTAGAAGAGTTAATGAACTAGAGGTATGCAGTTCTGAGAAACAGATACCATTAAGCAAAGTATTGATTTACCCATTAGAAGACAATTAATCATTTTTGCTGTAAACAAAATGAGAAACTTTGGTTGTTAATCAAGGATTCTGTTTCGCTCTTTAGTTTTCGATTGCAAAGTTAAACTAGATTTCTTTTCATGCTTAGTAATATAGCTATTTCTTTTAGTCTTGGAACAGGTAACACCTAAATAATAATAATTCTTGTAAAGAATAATGAAGAATAATGAGACATAAAATGGCCATTAATGAAAAATTGAAATTATACATAAAAAGAAATCATAAAAGATAATAATAATTATGAATTTTGCTTACAGTCTCGATAAGTGAAATAGAAGGTGGCTTCTATGAATTTTCTCTAACTACAACTCTCGTGAATAAAATATTTTATAATCCTAAAATGTTGGTGGTAGATGGCTTTTACTAAAGCCCTTATTCTTCTTAGGGTAGTAAAAGCAGAAAAAGTATCTAGTCTTGTTAATGCTGTTATCCTTTCAAGTATTATAACCTTCGAACTTTTCATTACTGTATCCTAATTACAAATTTCCATTGCCACTTAGCACACACAAAGGCACAAACACACACACACACACACACACATCTGTGCGTGCAATTAAAACAAAATTTCAGGAAATAATTCTTGTCTTCACAACACAAGACTGTTTTTGTTAAGGTTGATGCTACATTAAAAACTGCTAGAGGGATAACATGAAGTTTGAAAAGATCTGTCAGAATTTAAAAGAAGGCTTTGTTTTATGTGTAGTTCTGAGTGGGTGTTTGTGTACATATTAATTTACAAGGTACCGGATAGTACAGAATTATTTTGACATCTGGAGGTCTTTATTGTTTTCTTCCGGAGTGAGACGAGTATGGAGGATCTAAGGTTGACAATTCATCAGAAACATCTTTTATACTAATATGAATCATGAGAGGTTTTTTTTGTTTTTGTTTTTGTTTTTGTTTTTTAAACAAGATCAAGGAATGGGCAGCAGTAACCACTGTAGCTGTTGATGTTTAGTAATTTCAGCATTCATTTATTCCAAATAACTATGTATATTTTTTCATAAATTATTTGACTAATCACCAACACAGTGACAATATATGAAAGGTAGTTCTTCAGTTTTAGTAGCTGGGGAGGGTTAATTGGAGGCCTGCCTGTCTTTGAGTCCACGGATTTACTTGTTGCTGGGGGTATTATGCCCTAAGTCAGTTAGATATCAGATGACATTTTTAATGACTTTGAGCTTGAAATAGTTACTCTGCCACCCTACAAATACTGCAGTTAGCAGGGCTGAATCACATAACTCATCTTACAAAGACCAATGTACATCTTTCTTTGGGCTGTAGTGAGAGAACAGAGGCGTGTAGAGGATTGAGCAAACATTTAAATTATCCAAACCTGTATCAAGTAATTCATATACAAGTAAAGAAAAGAAAGGAGCAAGATATCCTTGTAAATTCCCATAGGAAATGATCTAGCTGATCTCAAGAGTCTGCTTACACATGCTATCTCTGTGATTACCGATACTAAGCTCATTACTGACATGTGCCCATAGAGTTAAACATAAAGAGAAGACTGAGAATGTTGTTTTTTTTTTCAAAGATTTATCTACATGGTGCTCCAGAATATATCAGTGGAATATCTATGCCTAAATTATCCAGTTCTCAAGTAGACTATTGACTTGAGTAGTCCAGATTTGCAACTTTAGGCATTTTGAAAACTACTATTTAAAACGAGCAGACATAGACTTTCAAATATGTGGCAATTATTTCTTCAGATGATGTAGTGTTTTACTAATATTAAGAAATACTGGGAAGTAATCACTACTTTAAATACTAACATTTTTTGAAATAATGGATATTTCCTTTGAAATAAAGGAAAATATTCTAAAATGTCTTTTATAAGTTGTAAAATATTATTGAAGCAGGATCCAATTTCATGTATAGTATGCAGGTTTTTGTATTTAGTTTTATCTCTTTAGTCATATTTATGGTTAAACAGTCCTCTCCCCTTATTTATATTTTTATACCATTTACATCTTGAAGAAAGAAGCGTTGACTGTCTTTTAGAATGTATTATAATTTAGATTTGTCAGATCACTTTCTTGTAGGGTTTTTCAAGTATTCCTTCAAGCCAGAAGTCAATAAAATATGACCTGTAGGACAACCCCAGCCTGTGATTTATTTTTAAACAACATTCAAACTAAGAAGGAGTTTTACATGTAAAGGAACAAACAAACAAGAAAAAGAACAATATACAATATAGATAGTATGTGACCCAAATGCCTAAAATATTTACTACCTACCCTCTAGATAAAAACTTTGCCAACCTCATATACTGTTAAATTCATGTTAAACATTTTGACAATATTAGTTTATCAGTTTAATGGGAACTGCGTATTACATTACCTTAGGAAGCAAAGTTGACCTGATATAAATATGCTATTTAAGAGAATTTAACTAAGATGATAACAGCCACAACACTATTTTCTGAAAGTATGTTTTCTCTTTGAAATTAGCAAATAATGCTGTTGGTAATAGTTAGGCACCTTGGAAATCTCATTTCCTGTCTATCTTTCACAAATTGGTTTTAGTATCAGTATTAGGCTGTTACTGTATTGATATGAAGAAATACCAGAAGCTGGGTAATTTATGAGAAAAGAGGTGTAATTGACTCTCAGTTCTGTAGGCTGCACAGGAAGCATAGTGGTGTCTGCTTCTGGGGAGTCCTGAGGAGGCTTAAGATTATAGTGGAAGATGAAACAGGAGCAAGCACATCACATAGCAAAAGCAAGAGCAAGAGAGAGAGACATAGAGAGAGATGCTTGTGGGTGCTGGGGGGAGGTGCTAAACAGTTTTACATGACCAGAACTCAATATCACAAAGACAGCACTAAGCCATGAAGGATCTTCCCCCATGATTCAAACACCTCCCACCAGGCCCCACCTACAGCATTGAAATGGAATGTATAGGCATTGAGTAAACAGTCCTGTTCCCAAAGGGAGAAATAGGTGAAAAGAAAGAGGCTACAGGCCTTACGGAAATTTGAAACTCAACAGGGCAGTCATTAAATATTAAAGCTCCAAAATAATCTACTTTATCTCCATGTCCTCCATCCATGGCACACTGGTATAAGGGTGAGCTCCAAAGACCTTAAGCAGCTCTGCCCAGCCTGCGGCTTTGCAGGGTTCAGCCCCTCAGGCTGCTCTTACAGTTTGTTGAGGTGCCATACACGTTTAAATGACCAGACCTCTTGAAAACTCACTATCATAAAGACTTATCAAGCCATGAAGGATCCACCCCCATGAGCCAAGAGGAATATAATTTCTCTTGACTCTTAATGCAATGTTCCTTCTACCTTTTAGCTTGTAAGTATACCTTGCATTTCCTAAATATGTCCAAGTTAAAACATGTCTAACAACTATAATAAGCCTTAAACAATTAAAGTTTTATGTGCTTTAAATTAAATATTATTTTGGTGGTTGATTTGGATGGCTTAATAATGGATTAAGGGAAAATTTTAATAAATCATGGAAATAGAGAAAATAGAAAGGTAGTAACCGAAGGCTGGGGTTGGCGGTGGGAGAAGAAGGAGTGATGAGGACTTGAGAGATATTGATCAAAGGATATAAAGTTTCAGTTAGACTGGAGGTATAAATTGAGTGATCTATTATACTGCATATTAATACAATTAATAAGAATGTATTATATATTTGAAAATTGCTAAAAGGATAAATTTTTAACATTCTCTTTACTCCAAAAAATGATAAATTTGTGTGGTGATGGATAAGTTAATTACCCTGATTGAATCTTTCTACAACATATATGTAGATCAAAACATCATATTGTACATTGTATTTATATAAATATACATAAATATTTATCAATTAAAATAAAAATAGAATAAGTATTTATAACAGACAACTCTGAATGATGCAGATAATGGAATATTTATAGAGCAAAATAGTTCTGCTCTAGTTACCATTGTTTTGTTTTGTTTTGTTTTTGCTTCAGGGTAACCAAGCTAGATTTTAAAGTGTTGGTAAAAATCTTACCCTATATATCTATTAAATCTTTATTTTTTTTGTTATTACATCATTATGGCTTTAGAAATGCTGCTATAATTGTTCATTAGAAAATAAGAGAATAAAATTAGCGCTAATGACACCAAGTGTTAACAATAAATGAACTTACAGAAGAATAGAGGGAAAAAAATGTGGAAGTCAAAGTAGAGAAGTAAAATACAGTTGCAGTAGCTGGGTGACTGGGAAAAAACAAATCTATGAGATAATAAAAGATAAGTCTTTCAGAAAATGGTTTGTCTCCAGAAATCAATTAATGAGGGATGCGTATCCACGTAGATACTAAATGAAACTTGGAATGAATATCTTGATAAACATAAAATTGAGATTAAAAATTTCTTAAAGTTGTTATCTGCTAAAAGAATTCAAATTTACCTTATTTTTGATTAAAATAATTTATCTTGGAACATGTGAAAACCTGCTATGGAAGATAATTTATGTAGAAATATAATTCCTCTTGAATTGGAGGGTGGTGGCCACATAGTAATGGACAATTTGGAGTACAAGATAAAAATACAATTCTACCAAGAGGCTCCATTGATTATTATTATTATTATTATTTAGAGACAGGGTCTCACTATATTACCCAGACTTGTCTCAAACTTCTGGGCTCAAAAAGTCCTGCCATTTCAGCTTTTCACGTAGCTGGGACTACAGGAACGTACCATCACCCCTCGCTCCATTCATTATTATTGATAGAAACTAAAAATGGTTTCAACACTATCTTATTCATTTTTTATCAAGTCTAAAAATTTCAGCCTTTTCACGATCCCAGAAGGTTTTATATCATTGGAACACCAGTATGTTCTTTGTGAGGGGCTATACAAATTTTACTACCCATTCTGATGTAAAAAATTTTGCCACTTTTTTTCTAGTTTTAATACTGGAACTATCCCCATATTTCAAAGTTATTGTCCTTAGCATACAGAGATAATAGAAATTATAACTGATGTTATCAAAATGCCAGAGATTCAGTGTAGGTCTTCCTGCTCACTGCACAGAAAACCAGTCATTAAGATGAGTGTTGTTAGGGAAGAGGGTTATTCAAGTGCTACAGCTGAGGAAAACAGGAGTTCAGTCTCAAATCCATCTCTTCAACTGAACTAAATTTAGTGGTTTATATAGGAGGGAAGAAATGTAACCAAGTGCAGGAAAACAGAAATTAGGGAGGGTTAAGACAGAGAGGAGTTGATCAACAGTAAACAGATGGTGGGTAAGACAATCATGATAGGTGAGGGGTCTGGTGTCTCCAGATGTTGTGATCTGGTAGGTTTCAATTCTTTGATACTATCTGGAGGCCTGGTGGTTGATTTCCTGAGAAAGGAATTCAGATAAGACAAATGTAAGTTTTGAGACATAGAGGGTAAATTTCTATGTTTATTCAGAAGAAACCATAAACATCAGTTCTATGAAACAATTGGGCCAGTTTCAGGCCACCTCTTGCTGTTTACCAATTTCTCAATCGTGAGAAATCTCATCGTGGATCTTTCTGCCTGCTTTATGCTGAGTAGTCTTTGTGGGCAACTTCATACTAGGGGTGGCCACTGTCCACCCAGGAATCAACGGTTAATATAATTATATAGTTTTCTTCTGAAATGTAATTTTTCTCTCTCCATTCCCCCACTTCCACCAAAGACAAATCACAGCTGGATAAACCTACCTGCAAAATAAACTTCAGTCCCATTACACTTGGCCTGATTACTCACAAAAAATATAGCAAGTATCATTTTCAATATACCTCTCCTAAGTTAGCTTCATTGGAACCTCTCACAGGGAATCTCAGACTTGGCCTCCAAAGGCCTCCCGAGCCCAGCCAGGAATCTATCTGCACCTGCAGATACCTGCATGTATTCAGTGAACCCCTTTTTCTCCAGGCCCCAACTTGAGATACTTGAGGTTCCTGGACCTGTCAGAAAGTGAAATTGTCAACTTAACCACAGGCCAGAAACCCTGCAAAGGAATGTGTAGATAAGGTATGAGGCCAATCCTTCTAAGGGGGTCTCATCAGCTCCATAAAGTTAACAGCAGTTTCTCAAAGCAGGCTACTCATATCTGAAAACACGACATTTCAGTGAAAGCCCTGAGAAAATAATCAGTTCCTACAATTGTGTCCTATTATAACATAAAATATACTCTTATTGAACTTATGCAAACAACCACATTGTCCTGAATAAAGAATATTCACAGTTTCTGAATTCTGGAGAAATCAGGCAAAGAGAGAAACATGCTTTAAATTCTGTTTACAAAAGTACGCTCTACTCAGTTGTTAAAGGCTATAAATACTTCAAAAGAAAAAAATTCTCTAGACTCTGAAAAAAAAAAAACAGCAATGTTTCAATATTATTTCTGTCCTCCATTAGTTCATTCTATGCAATCAACTCCTGATCTACCTCATGTTGGGTTAGCAATCTTTTTGAAAACATAAGCCTTTTAATTTGTGTCCTAGAAATTTTCTTTCTAATGGCATAATCTCAAACATTAACAGAAAACTGCATTCCAGAGTCCTTTTCATGAACTCCCTGGAAGAAGCAAGCCCTGGACCGTAGCTAATTATAAGTTGCTTTTTAGAAGAATCAAAGCAAAACAATTGTGGATAACAAAAGTCTTAGGACAGACACATTTGACAATAAAATTTGGTTATTTCTGTGGCATATAAAAAATTTAGAATAATAATGATAATCATTACTGACAACATATGTTAAAACATATCAGAATTTCAGAAATCTCATACAATCCTGGAACACATATTAACAACACATCTATATAAAAATAAGGAAAATTAAAACCACCTCACATTTGAAATTAGTTTGACCATAAGGTAAGAATTTCATAAACCTTTTATAACTTTTTTAAAGTTGCTATTAAAGTTCAGATGAATGCTCCAAGAAAACCCTGTTATTCTGACACAAATACCTAAATGCTGGCTTGCATCAGTGTACTTTTGCTATTAATGTTTAATTTATAGAAAAACTCTGAACTACTTTTATCCCTGGAACTGGCTTTTACAATCTCACATGCCCACTTCTTCCATAATAGTACTTGGGCCTACAGGGACTGAATAGTTTTAGTTTCTGGCCCTGAGTCTCTTGAAAGTAGTCCATTTTGATTGTCACCTTTTCCCTGGTCTGAAGAGAAGGCTTTGGCTGCTGTCAATGCTCAAGATTTGGCAGTTAATAGGACATTTATACTGAAGAAAGTCCTATCATTCTCTCTAACATGTCAGAAATTAAAACACTATGACTTGGTGTCTAGGCAAAACATTGTATTAATGTGGTAAGGTTACTCCTTGCATACATCTAATTGCTAGCACTCTAGTGAAAGTACTGTGAGCAAAGCATTAAAAAATGTGATAGGTTCAATGCAAACTTGCCAAGTAACACAATTAACTTTTCCTCATCATTAAAAAATGGTAAATGCAAATATTGTTTTTGGAAATTCAGTATGAAAGTAAATAATCTTTCACTTTAAGACTATTCAGCAAAACAAGGACAAAGGAAGAATAACCACACAATATTTTCTTTTAAGCTATTTAAAAGATTATTTAAAAGTAAATAATCTTGCACTTTAAGACTATGCAGCGAAACAAGGACAAAGGAAGAATAACCACACAATATTTTCTTTTAAGCTATTTAAAAGAGTATCATCACACATTTCCAAGATCAGTTTCTAGGTACAGTACTAACAACTAATTAGGTAACTTCCACCAGTAGAATCTTCAAGCTAGTGTGACACTTGTACATATTTTGTTTTCATGAAGACACATGAAGGCCCATCAGTGATAAACATCTTGGGTTCAAAAAAATTACCAGAAAGTCTCACATTTTTTATTACTACTTAATCCATTTGAATATCACATAATTTTAATAATGCTAAATACAAGTACAGTAATTTAGAGAAATCCCAGTCAATATAATTGTCAGAGGATCCTTAGGGGGTTGCTTTTCCAGCCAGAAACCTCTGTGGCTGGTGGCATCTTTGCCTGAGTTTTGCTTGGGCTCACTGGGCTCATTCCACCTACTTGGCCTGGCAGGCTGTGCTTGGATTGTGCTACCAGCCTGGATCCCACACCTTCCAAGGGTGAGCCAGGCAGGGATCAGTGAGGGGTGTGTGAGTGAGTGAGCATGAGGTCTTACCACTGTACACAGCCAAGGGCACTGGCTGTGTCAGGGTGGGCAGCTCCAGGTGCCAGCAAAGGTGCCAGCTCTGTGCAAGGCTGTGGGTGGAACAGGCATACCACTGACAGCCTTGCCCAGAGGCTTGGAGATGTTAGGAACCACAGAGCCCCAATGAGGATGTCACAGCCCCGCCTTGGGGAGCCCCTAGGTCTGGAATCCATGAAGGGCCTCAGCTGTTTGCTCCTTCTCATCACCCACAACGTGGCAAGTGTGTGTGTAGAGCAGGGGGTATTTTAGCCCTGTTTGTGTTACAGCTATTTTAGTCCCACCATTCAGCATGTCCCAGGTTCTTGTCCCGCATCCGGGAAGAATAAGGCATGCAGACAACTGGAAGGTGAGCAAGGAAGAAAGGAGCCTTACTGGGCAACAGAACAGCTCTCAGGAGACCCGAAGTGGGTAGCTTCTTTCTGCAGGCAGGTCATCCCAATGAATGCCCAGCTCTCAGCAGAGAGGAGACCCAGAGTGGGTAGCTCCTTTCCACAGGCAAGTTGTCCCTGTGAATGTCTAGCTCTCAGAAGAGAGGAGAGGAGAAGTTGCATAGTGGGTAGCTCCTTTCCTCAGGCAGGTCGTCTCAAAGAGTGTGTGAGTCTAGCTGAGCCTGGGGTTTTTAATGTGCTAAGAATGAAGGAAGTGCATGCTAATTTGTCCATGGGTGACCACAAATGGGCCTGGAAAAAGCACCATCAGATTTGCCAAGCAGTCATCAATGAAGTTCTCACTCTGGGTCCCCAAGAGTTCAGGGATGCTGGAGTCTGGACTGTGACTGGACAGGTGCAGCTCTGTTGTGGGAAGTCAGGGACCCCAAATGGAGGGACTGACTGAAGCCATGGTGGAAGAACATAAATTGTGAAGATTTCATGGACATTTATCAGATTCCCCAAATTAATACTTTTATAATTTCTTACGCCTGTCTTTACTGCAATCTCTGAACATAAATTGTGAAGATTTCATGGACACTTATCACTTCCCCAATCAATACCCTTGTGATTTCCTATGCCTGTCTTTACTTTAGTCTCTTAATCCCGTCATTTTCATAAGCTGAGGAGGACGTATGTCGCCTCAGGACCCTGTGATGATTGTGTTACCTGCACAAATTGTTTGTAGAGCATGTGTGTTTAAACAATATGAAATCTGGGCACCTTGAAAAAAGAACAAGATAACAGCAATGTTCAGGGAACAAGAGAGATAACCTTAAACTCTGACCACCAGTGAGCCAGGCGGAACAGAGCCATATTTCTCTTCTTTCAAAAGCAAATGGGAGAAATATCGCTGAATTCTTTTTCTCAGCAAGGAACATCCCTGAGAAAGAGAATGTGTCCCTGAGGGTAGGCCTCTAAAATGGCCGCTTCAGCAGGTGGCCGTCTTTTATGGTCGAAGCTGTAGGGATGAAATAAGCCCTAGTCTCCCATAGCGCTCCCAGGCTTATTAGAATGAGGAAATTCCTGCCTAATAAATTTTTAGTGAGACTGGTTGTCTGCTCTCAAACCATGTCTCCTGATAAGATGTTATCAATGACAATGCATGCCCGAAACTTCATTAGCAATTCTAATTTCACCCCTGTCCTGTGGTCCTGTGATCTCGCCCTGCCTCCATTTGCCTTGTGATATCTTATTACCTTGTGAAGCACGTGATCTCTATGACCCACACCCTATTCATACATTCCCTTTCCTTTTGAAATCACTAATAAAAACTTGCTGGTTTTACAGCTCAGGGGGCAACACGGAACCTGCCAACATGTGATGTCTATCCTGGACACCCAGCTTTAAAATTTCTCTCTTTTGTATTCTGTCCCTTTATTTCTCAGACCATCCGACACTTAGGGAATATAGAAAAGAACCTACGTGAAATATCGGGGGTGAATTTCGCCCGATATCTGGCTGAATTTTCCCCGATATCGCTCAACCCAGTACTGTGGCGTCCTGCCCTGCCAACTCAGTAGGGGGCAGAGCTCTCACCTGTTCCTGGCTCCCACCATCTCTGAAGCACGCAGCACCAGCTGCACCTCCCACACTGAAGCCAGCATCCTTACAGCAGCCACTCCACACACACCATCGCAGCCGTCATAATTATCTTAAGAACAAGGCCAATCTTTCCTGAACATTAAAACTTTGTAACCATATCAGTTTTTCCTCATTACCTAAAGGAAAAGATCAAAAACCAACTCAAATTATGGACTGAATTAAGTTACCTTGAACATAAATACCATTTAAACATTTCTACTCCTACCTACTTTTCCAAATAACAAAATAAATAATGTACTATCCCTGTTCAGAACTTAAAAAAAAAATTTTCTTTATTTATTTCCAGAATCCTCAAAGCTCTTGAAGCTCTCTAGGTCATCAGAGGTAAGAAAAACATATTGAATTTTAAATGGCTAGGTTGTCCTATCAATTTTGGGAGGCTTGACAAAGGTAACTTAGGGACTTTTGATAAACAGAACAAATGATGAATTGTTTCAAATGTATAGGAAACAAAATGACTATTCAAGGAGTCAAATATGAGCATTCTGTTAGAAACCAAAAAACAAAAAAACAACAAGAAAGTGCTTTATATATACATATATACATAAAAACTAAGAAAAGATAGAAAATGAATAAAAATTAAAAGCAAAACAAAATAAACAGGAAAGCAACCCCCACATTTTATCTTACTCAGTTTACATCGGAGGCTACAGTGCTATCCAGGACATAAAAACATACACGTTGTGGATATTTTGTTCCTGATATACAACTGAATATCTTTAAGTCTACAAAATACCACAATGCATTTTATGCAATTAAGAAATTTTCTTCAGGCATTTGACAAGTAAATGTTGTAGTGCTGGTACTAATAAACAGAATAGCAAATTTAGTGTTAAGTAAAACAAAGCAAGCATTTATGTGAAATTAGGCTCCATGCTAAATCCAGCTTCATGCTTAACAATATTAAAAAAAGAATTGCCAAATTGCCAATGTATTTCTTTACAATATTTCTTATTTTACCTTCATAAACACTAAGAGCTTTAACTATGAACAATGTTAATTAGTCAAATGTCTCCAATTATCTATTGGGCTTCAAAGAATATTTTATTATCTAAACATTTTCAATTTTTTTTTAATTGTGATGATTATTTATTCTGGAAAAAGCAGAAGGGTATTTTAATGACAGAATTATCCAAACTATTATGCTAAAGAAGTCAACTACATTTTTCTTTTTTTTATTATTATTTATACTTTAAGTTTCAGGATACATGTGCACAATGTGCAGGTTAGTTACATATGTATACATGTGCCATGCTGGAGTGGCCATGAAGATAGACACACAGAGAAACAGGAAAAAAAATTTATGACTTACACAGACAATGACATACTTGGAATTTCTGTTTTATTCTATATATTTTTTAAAAGTAACCACTCATTTTATTTTATGGCAAAACTTTGCCATAGTCCATAATTTGAATTAACCTTTAGATGACTTGTGAATTAGACAAAATTATTGTTTTTTTCAATAAGAACATATCTTCTTTGGCACATTTTATATACAGAATGATATATTAGCTAGAATTCTTATTCTAAGTACCCTTACATTTTAGTGAAAGCCTAGGAAGCAAGAAATCCTGAACTTCTACCAATTATTGGATTTTATAGATGAGAACATTCTACAATTTTAAAAAATACATTTCTGCATATCATAACCCTTTCTTAATTGGAAATGACCCAGACATCAAAGGAGCGTCTAAAATAATTTTGTTTTTATATTCTACAAAATGTTCACCAGCACTAATACCATTCACATGTACTGGAATCTTTCATTTTTTTTAGCAGTTTATCTAGATTACTTATAAGAACTGAAGTATTAGACAAAATCAGCATTTCCTTGTTAACCATTTTATAACCTGTAAATATTAGGTTTTATAGTAACAAACTTAAAGTTAAATACATGGATTATTTTGCCAATAATTCCGAAGATTTAGCTGTTTTTATTAAACCAAAAACATTATATTAGTTTTGTCAAATAAATTTGCACAAAGATCATTTTGTTTTGGTTGCTTTTATAGTTTTATAGCCTTCTGTGCCGAACTCTGATATTTCAAAATATCTAGCAAAGACAAATATAAAACCCAGATGAAAATGTATGCTGACAATTCCTAAGAAACTTTTATTTTAATTTTACCAATAATTGTAAAGCTAGCTTGTTTATTTAAGATTTACTTAAGTCACATGAATTTGAAAATTGCCTGGACTTATTAGTACTCTTTTATTTAAAAGCCAATTTGTTAGATGCAACATATGATAAACACATCTAAACATGTATATACACACACAAAGATCCAATAGTTTTTACCTTGAAACTCTCGCCATCAGATAGCAACATGAACTCACCAGTTTACAAATATGGTCACATGGGTAAACTTTGTTTGCCCCCATAGGTAATCCAGTGAAGGTTTTGTACCAATATTTTGGGTGCAGCAGTTTCCAAGGTAGTTTGATTTTTTTTTTTTTTGAGACTAGAGTTTTGCTCTTTGTTGCTCAGGCTGGAGTGCAGTGGTGCGATCTCAGCTCACTGCAACCTCCACCTCCAGGCTTCAAGCAATTCTTCTGTCTCGGCCTCCTGAGTAGCTAGGATTGCAGGCGCCCGCCACTACACCCGGCTAATTTTTGTATTTTTAGTACAGACAGAGTTTCACCATGTTGGCCAGGCTGGTCTCGAACTCCTGACCTCATGATCCACCTACCTTGGGCTCCCAAAGTGCTGGGATTACAGGTGTGAGCCACCGCGCCCAGCCAGCAGTTTGATTTTTAAAAGCCAAACCTCCCCAGACTCCAAAGAACACTCGGGCCAAACAGCATCTCAGAAGAACATCATGTACTAACCTGACCAAACCCTGCTTAGAACAGCAGCATAAAAGCCTAGGTTCACAAAACTCCATCCTGCTTTCCCATTCAATAGCAAAATGAATCCAATTGTAAGACAACAGTACCATTTAAAGACCTTCAAAGATCAGATGAGATAGACACATTCAGGGCCTGGCTCACAAGCCCATACAGACCAACCATGAAGAAGGCACCCCAAAGGGCTGTATTCTGGGATAGAACACTGACCTCCCGTGACTACATCAACATACACACAAACAATAACCAAAACACAATCCACATACTGAGCAACAAACTAGCCCCAAGTATCCAAAGTGAAACAGCCAGGGTGTTTTCCTCTCTGAATTGGTTGGGCTTGTTCAACCTTCAAATGGAAATTCCTTCAGCATTCCCCAAATTGAGGACGGCATATCCAGCTATCTGGTACCTACAAAAGACACTCAGCCATCCAAACTCAGATGTCAAATGTCAAAGGCTATTCTTCCTAGGCAATCAGAAGTGTGGTTGGGGCCAGAAGTGGCAGGGCCGAAGAGAGAATGAGACCAAGCTCTGGCGAAAAAATGGTGAAGCCACTGTTTAGGAGGGTTTCTGAAACTCCTGGCCCACTGCAGTCTGAGCCATGAGCAATGTGTTCCTGGCCAGGAAACCAAAATCTGTTACTGAAATGCTAGGGGTTCAGTATAGGTCCTGCTCCCCACTGCACAGAAAGCCAATCATTGAGACAATGAATATTTCTAGGGAAGAAGAATTTAATGAGGTATTGCAGCTAAGGAGGTGAGAGATGAGTCTCAAATCCATCTCTTCAACCAACTGAAATTAGGGATTTATATAACAGGAAAGAAATGTAACCATGTGTGAGAAAATAGGAATTAGGGAGATGTAAGGAAGAGGAGTTTGTCAACAGACAACAGGTGGTAGGTAAGACAGTCATGATGGGTGGGGAATCTAGTATCTCATCGTCCAGATGCAGTAACCTGTTAAGTTTCAGTTCTTTGGTAGTCTCTGTGAAGCCCCCCATTGGTGGTTTCCTGAGAAAGGAACTCAATAAGACAAACGTAACTTTCTTAAGTTTGAGACTAGAGTGTGTGTGTGTGTTTGGGGCGTGGGGGGGAGGGTTAATTTATATGTTTATTCGGAAGAAACTATAAACATCAGTTCTACGGGACAGTTGGACCAGTTTCACTGACACCATTTAGCACCGAGAATATTAGAAGTTGTTATGGGCAAAATTGCCTCTCTTAATCCCTGGGATTCATACAATATACCAGACCAAAATTTTTAAAATCTTCATGATGATTTTATGATATTCTAAAGTAAGATAATTTTTTTCCTTCTTTTTTTTTTTTTTTGAGACGGAGTCTCGCTCTGTCGTAGTCTCGCTCTGTCGTCCAGGCTGGAGTGCAGTGATGCGATCTCTACTCACTGCAAACTCCGACTCCCGGGTTCACGCCATTCTCCTGCCTCAGCCTCCCGAGTAGTTGGGACTACAGGCGCCCATGACCACACTTGGCTAATTTTTGGTATTTTTAGTAGAGACAGGGTTTCACCGTGTTAGCCAGGATGGTCTCTATCTCCTGACTTCGTGATCCGCCCGCCTCGGCCTCCCAAAGTGCTGGGATTACAAACGTGAGCCACCGTGCCCGGCCTAAACTAATTTCTAAACCTCTTCCCCAGAATATACAATAATCATAAAACCTACGATAACTACCTACATTCTTATATCTTTAGATGTTTAGTCATTAAAGAAACACCAAACCTTAGGTTTTCTTAGATCTCTGAAAGAAGATATAAACTTTAATGTAATTATGATATTACTATTTTGTTTCTAAATGATTAATTTATGTTGGAACACTGATAATTTATCACATATAATCTGTAGAAATGTAATCAAAGTAAAGATCTAGAAAGGCAGTAGAAGAAGCGCAAATAGCAAAAACCTATGTAATGGTTGTAGATTAGGTTGTGTTTCTTCTAACAAAATATTAATGCATCCCAAGTAAATGGCTATTGTATATGAAGTTATAGGTATTTTATACACACACATATACATATATACACATATGTTTTATAAATACACTTGGTTTATAATAACATTGTCTGACAAAGATACTAATCTTTTATGCTAGTTATAATAATAGTTATAACCAAAATTTATAATAAATTTTATAATGTAAACTTCTATAATCTGAAAATAAAACTATCAACAAGTTTCTCAGAACTCACGGAGATCACAAAAGTTTACTGTATTTATAGACTATACCTAGAAATATATACTTTATATTTTCTAGATATAGTATTTTTTTCATTACTGTTATAAAACTGCATCTTCTTAAGAATTCTTTATATCAGGCAACTGCTTTGCAGATACTAGGCTGCTATTTTTGACATCTGAAAGTAACTGCCCCAAATTCATGGTTTAAACACCTGCACTTGCTTTTATGGATTTGTCTTTGTGAAACTGAAATTTGTTGTACACATTCTACATTGATTAGAAATGACAGAGAGTCATTAATTAGGACATTAATTAGGAATGACAAAGATTAAGGTGAAGCCAGGTTGCGGTAATAAAATATTCTTATGAGTAAAGGGAAAACATCATTTTTTAAAAAGCTACATAATTTTAAATTTTGAAGAGACTCAACATCCATGGATTCTCTGTGGGATTTGGTGTCATGTTTTTGACATCTGGGTTTAAAACTTTGCTTCTTTCAAGTGAATGTAAATTTTAATAACATCAAAATTATGTACAGGAGTCTGGTTAGATTTCAGGTGAAAAGTGTTTGAAAAAATGTTATTTTCAGAATAACTATAAATCAGAAACACTTTTTGTCATTGCTGTAAATGATAATTTCTGACTTTTTAATTTGTTGGATGAGGGATGGTTGATCTTTTCGTGTCATTAAAGTAAAATTTATTTTATTCAGTAACAAAAAATAAATATATTTTCACTGTAGATTTTCTCATTTCTGTATTACTAATTCCTCTCTTTTTAGCACCATTTCCAGAGATATCTCAGCATGTTCTTGTTATCTGGTGTCTTAAGAGGCTCTACCTCACTTGTGTTTTTTCACAGCAAAACTCATGAAATGTGTTGTGTGTTGCGTATTACTACTTTTTTACCTCTAGTTCATTCATCAGCTACTCAAATTCAGTGTGAATTTGAGTAGCTGTCCAATATCCATTTTGTTAAATACAAGATACCTCTGGAAATAAAGTCTAAGTCATCCAAACAAAAGGGATCCCTCTATTTCTACAAGATTTCCTGATGTTTTCTTAAGAGAGTCGACAGAATGTTTCATAATTCCATTACAGAGGACATAGTCAAGCAGGTATTCATGATTTGTGGCTTAATGTAGATATTGCAGTTGCATTTCTCATATTGCATATAGCAGATGACCTACCTGTACTCTCACACCCAACCTCAGAAGCTTTCAGTTCTATGGCTAATCAAATTTGGCTATAAGCAACTCAGCTTCAGATCTTTATTTATTCTTCTGACTTTGAGGTCTTTAATTGTTTGTTTAGCCTGAAAATTTCTTTGAATTCTTCTATTTCCCTCATCGACCCCCATATTCAATCTGTCCCCAAGTCCTTTCAGTCGTATCTCAAACCAATCTCATATGCATCTGGTTTTCTTTATATTCAGTGTCTGTACACCATGCTAAGCCACCATAATTCTTCCTTTACAATACTACAGTCAAGATCTATCAATACTACACCAAGATCACCATCTTGGTGGAGTTTCTGCTATTCCAACTTCCCTGACTTACTTGGACTATTTTCAACCAATTCTATAAAGAGCAGCAAACATTATCTTTTAGTATTGAAAATAAGGTCGTGTGATAAGTCTGTGAGACCCTTATCTCTAAAATATAAATAAATTAAATAGTAAAGCAAACCAGAGACCCAAAAGCTAGCAAGGAAATCTCTCCATCTATTATTTTTGCTTATCTTCATGTTGACTTCACTTTTTTTTTTTTTTTCTTGAGATGGAGGATCACTCTGTCGCCCAGGCTGGAGTGCAGTGGCCTGATCTCTGCTCACTGCAAGCTCCACCTTCCAGGTTCATGCCATTCTCCTGCCTCAGCCTCCCGAGTAGCTGGGACTACAAGCGCCTGCCACCACGCCCGGCTAATTTTTTTTTGTATTTTTAGTAGAGACAGGGTTTCACTGTGTTAGCCAGGCTGGTCTCAATCTCCTGACCTTGTGATCTGCCCGCCTCGGCCTCCCAAAGTGCTGGGATTACAGACGTCAGCCGCTGCGCCCGATCAACTTCACCCTTTTTCACTGGATTCTCAGGTATAAGAGGATGTTGCTGAGGGCGGGTCTGGTTTTCTGTCCTGAAAACTTTAGGTCAACTGACTTGAGCTGCATGCTCATCCTCGTATCCTTCGTTACGAAGTTATTGCCTCAGCTTGGATCAAGTGTTCATGTTTTGACCAGTAGTTATGATCAAGAGGACATTTTCACTTAAGACAATTGCTGTTTACACATTGATCAAATGGCAGTGTGGTGGAGAAACATATTTTCCATAGAAGTGAAGATGGATTTCTCAGAAATAAGTAGTACAGGGTTGGTAAAATATTTAATAATACATTTTCCTTCAAGAGGTTTATATTATAGAGTGATTTTTAAAAAATTCTTTATTTTTTCTTTTAAATATAGTTAAATATTATCATCATAGAAACATTTGCATCAATCAAGTAGGCATTTTAATTTTGGGGAAATAATATGAGAAAGCATGTTACAAACTGAAAGATATTATATAAAATATGTTAGCCGTTGTCTTATTTGTAAACTCAAATAATAGTTTTGAGTTTCTAATGTATCAATTATTTAATATTTTAAATATATACTAAAAGCACCTTTGGAAACAGTATGCCCTACTTAGTTGCTTTTCAGCTAGAATATATTTCAATAAGGCATAATATTATAAAGCAAGTTTGTAAAAAGACATCAGTTTTATTTTCAGCTCCACTGATAAATAAGTCGAGTGATTTTAAATATCTCCTCACCTAGCTGATCTAACTTTTGCCATTTATCCCTAAGAGACATGTTGAGAAGGTCAAAATTTTTATCATAGCCGCTGTCTTTTAAATGAAAAGTGCCTGAGGTATGTAAGACATTACTAATATTTTAATGAAAAATCATGGGATAAAA